>NC_000017.11:4430504-4582020 GCF_000001405.40 Homo sapiens
GTCTTTGTTTTCAATTCTTTTTTTTTTTTTTTTTTTTTTTGAGACAGAGTCTTACTCTGTCACCCGGGCTGGAGTGCAGTGGTGCAATGTAGGCTCACTGCAATCTCTGCCACCTGGGTTCAAGTGATTCTCCTGCCTCAGCCTCCCGAGTAGCTGGGATTACAGGCGCCTGCCACCGTGCCTGGATAATTTTTTTGTAGTTTTAGTAGAGACAGGGTTTCACTGTCTTCGCCAGGCTGGTCTTGAACTCCTGACATCGTGATCCACCTGCCTCGGCCTCCCAAAGTGCTGGGATTACAGGTGTGAGCCACTGTACCTGGCCTGTTTTCAGTTCTTTTGGATATATACCTAGGATTGGAATTGCAGGGCCATATGGTAATTTTATGTTTAACCTTTGGAGGAACTGCCAAACTTTGTTCCACTGCGGCTGCCTTACTCCACATTCCCAGCAATGCATGAGGCTTTCAATCTCTCCACCAACATTTGTTATTTCCTCTCTCTCTCTTTTTAAAATTATAGCCGTCTTAGTGGGTACGAACTGATATCTTATGGTGGCTTCAATCTGCCATTTTCCTAATGACTTGTGATGTTGAACATTTTTCTTTCTTTTTTTTTTTTTCCCCCGAGATGAAGTCTCGCTCTGTCACCCAGGCTAGAGTGCAGTGGTGTGATCTCAGCTCACCGCAACCTCTGCCACCCGGGTTCAAGCAGTTCTCCTGCCTCAGCCTCCTAAATAGCTGGGATTACAGACACATGCCACCACGCCCAGCTAATTTTTGTATTTTTAGTAGATATGGAGTTTCACTATGTTGGCCAGGCTGGTCTCGAACTCCCAACCTTGTGATCCACCCACCTGAGCCTCCTAAAGTGCTGGGATTGCAGGCGTGAGCTACTGTGCCCAGCCTGAACATCTTTTTATGTGCTTGTCGGTCACCTGTATATCTTCAGAGAAATGTCTGTTCAACTCCTTGGCCCATTTTTGTCCCCCTGATGTTTTTTTTCTTTAGAGATGGGATCTCACTCTGTTGCCCAAGCTGGAGTACAGTGGCATGATTATAGCTCACTGTGGCCTCAACCTCCCAGGCTTAAGTGATCCTTCCACCTCAGCCTCCAGAGTAGCTGGGACTACAGGTCCATGCCACTATGCCCGGCTCTTCACCCATTTTTAAATTGGTTTGTCATTTTATGCTTTAACTTTTTGTTTAGATATAATTTATAACTTATAGAAAGTTTATCATATAGCGTAAAGAAACTCTTATAATCTTTACCCAGATTCATCTATTATTAATATTTGCCCCATTTGTTTTCTTACTATACATATCTAATATTTTTTCCTGAACCGTTTGAGAATGAGTGGCATAAATCATGGCCCTGTACCTCTAGATACTTCAGATAAGGATATTTACTTATTTACTTACATAACCATAGTTCACAGATGCTGATATGCTATTTCTTCCTGATCCAGTTTTATCAGTTGATCCAGTACAGGAGCGAGGTTGGGATCCTGTACTGCTCTTAATTGTCTTATTGTCTTGTCTCTCTTTTTTTTTTTTTTTTTTTTGAGACGGAGTCTTGTTCTGTCACCCAGGCTAGAGTGCAGTGGCACGATCTTGGCTCACTGCAACCTCTGCCTCCCGGGTTCACATGATTCTCCTGCCTCAGCCTCCTGAGTAGCTGGGACTACAGGTGCACACCACCACACCCAGCTACTTTTTTGTGTATTTTTAGTAGAGACAGGGTTTCACTATGTTGGCCAGACTGGTCTCGAACTCCTGACCTCGTGATCCGCCCGCCTGGGCCTCCCAAAGTGCTGGGATTACAGGCATGAGCCACCGCGCCTGGCCTATCTTGTCTCTTTGTTGCTTTTAATCCAAAACAGTCCCTCAGAATATTTTTTTTTTTTCGAGACAGAGTTTTGCTCTTGTTGCCCAGGCTGGAGTGTAATGGCGTGATCTTGGCTCACCACAACCTGTGCCTCCCGGGTTCAAGCAATTCTCCTGCCTCAGCCTCCCGAGTAGCTGAGATTACAGGCACCTGCCACCATGCCTAGTTAGTTTTGTATTTTTAGTAGAGACGGGGTTTCTCCACATTGGTCAGGCTGATCTTGAACTCCCGACCTCAGGTGATCCACCTGCCTCGGCCTCCCAAAGTGCTGGGATAACAAGCGTGAGCCACCACGCCTAGCTCCCTCAGTCTTTCTTAGTCTTTCATGACTCTGACATTTTTCAATATACAGTCCCTTTAAAGAAATAGTGTTTCTCAATTTGGGCTTGTCTGATGTTTTTTCATTTTAAAAATTAAAAAAAAAATTTTTTTTTTTGAGTTGGGGTCTTGCTTTGTCACCCAGCCTGGAGTGCAGTGGCACGAACATGGCTCACTGCAGCCTCGACTTCCCAGGCTAAGGCGATCCTTCCTACCTCAGCCTCCCAAGTAGCTGGGACTGTGGACGCACACCACTACACCCGGCTATTTTTTTTTAAAATTTTTTATTTTTTTGGTATTTTTGTAGCAATGGGGTTTCACCATGTTGCCCAGGCTGGTCACAAACTTCTGGGCTTGGATGATCCTCCTGTCTTGGCCTCCCAGTGTTAGGATTACAGGTGCGAGCCACCGCGTCTGGCTGATGTCTTCTCATGATGAGATTCCGGTTGTGCCTTCCTGGCTGGAATGCCACATAGATGATGCTGTGACCTGCGAAGACCTTCACATCTGGAGGCACACGACACCCTCCTGCCTCTCACAGGTGATTTATTTTAACCCCTTGGTCAAGATGTCTGATTCCTCTACTGTATAGTTACTCTTTTTCCTTTTGTTACTAATAAGCAATCTATCAAGAGATGCTTCGTGACCGTGCTGACACCCTCCCCCCTCACTGAAGTCTTCCCCCCAGATTTAGCCCCCACTGATGAGTTTTGCACACAGGCTGTCTTCTTGTAGGCAGCCCCCTCTGCTACCTTTGTTTTTCCGGGAAGGACCTTAGATCCTGGGTAGGTGCTCATCCTGCCTGGCAGTCGAGTGCAATGCTGCTGTCCTGGCCAATGCCCAGCCTTCCTCATTTGCCCCGGCTTCAAGGCATTGGTTCACAGTCCCGTACGGGCAGCTAGACCATCTCACAGCAAGCAGCACTCTGGGAGGCTCATCTCATTTCCTGCCCTGGAAGCTTCCCTTCCTCACTGCAGCCACTGAAGCTGCAGGCTAGATCAAGGGGACCACAGAGTTGTCCAGTCCCCAGGGTGGGGGTGCCAGGAGCCCTTGTCCTCCGTAGCAGGTCTCAGAGGCTGACGATGGGGAAATCGCACTGGTGAAGCTGCCGTGGGGTCAGGAGGAACCTGCGATAAGACGCCCAACAGTTAGGGCAGGTGCTTTGAGGTTTGGAGCCTGGGACCCCACAGGAAGTGACTTCGTGCTGAGCTAATGTTGCTTCATCCTGGCGCCAGTCTCAGGCCAAGAGCTGCAGGCTGGCATGGCTGGGGGGATGTCAGCGGAGTGCCCTGAGCCTGGGCCAGGAGGTCTGCAGGGCCAGTCCCCAGGGCCAGGCAGGCAGTGTCCCCCTCCCATCACGCCCACCTCCTGGAGCCTGCCCCCGTGGAGGGCCTACGTGGCTGCCGCCGTCCTCTGCTACATCAACCTCCTGAATTACATGAACTGGTTCATCATTGCAGGTGAGGAGGGGATGGCTACCCTGGGCAGTACCTGCTGCTGTGCCCACCAGCCAGGGGCTGCAGATCCATGGTGGCCTTCCAGCCATCACCCATCTTTCTGCTCCTGGGCCCATCTCTGGTGTTCTCACCTCTAGAGGTGGTTTTCAGCTGTGCTCGAATCGGGGAGGACCAACTGATGTTCCCAATCCAGCCTCAACTAAGAAGGGACACAGGCTGGGCATGGTGGCTCCCGCTTGTAATTCCAGCACTTTGGGAGGCTGAGGCAGGAAGATTGCTTGAGCCCAGGAGTTTGAGACCAACCTGGACAACATAGTGAGACTCTGTCTCTATTTATTTATTTTTTTTTTTGAGACAGAGTCTCGCTCTGTCGCCCAGGCTGGAGTGTAGTGGCGCAATCTCAGCTCACTGCAACCTCTGTCTCCCAGGTTCAAGTGATTCTCCTGCCTCAGCCTCCCGAGTAGCTGGGATTACAGGCGTGCACCACCACATCCGGCTAATTTTTGTATTTTGAGTAGAGGAGGAGTAGGGACGGGGTTTTACCATGCTAGTCAGGCTGGTCTCGAACTCCTGACCTCAGGTGATCCACCCGCCTCGGCCTCCCAAAGTGCTGGGATTACAGGCATGAGCCACCGTGCCCGGCCTTTTTTTTTTTTCTTGAGACAGAGTCTCAATCTGTTGCCCAGGCTGGAGTGCAGTGGCGCGATCTCGGCTCACTGCAACTTCTGCCTCCCAGGTTCAAGCGATTCCTATCTCAGCCTCCCGAGTAGCTGGGACTACAGGCGCATACCACCATGCCAGGCTAGTTTTTGTATTTTTAGTAGAGACGGGGTTTTGCCGTGTATGCCAGGCTGTCTCGAACTCCAGACCTCAGGTGATCCGCCTGCCTCGGCCTCCCAAAGTGTTGGGATTATAGGCATGAGCCCCTGCGCCCAGCCGAAACTCTGTCTCTATTTAAAAAATTAAAAATATTTTAGGGCTGGGTGCGGTGGCTCAGGCCTGTAATCCCAGCACTGTGGGAGGCCAAGGTGGGCGGATCACTTGAAGTGAGGACTTTGTGACCAGCCTGGGCAACATGGTGAAACCCCGTCTCTACTAAAACTACAAAAATTAGCCGAGCATGGTAGCGGGCACCTGTAATCTCAGCTACTGGGGAGGCTGAGGCAGAGAATTGCTTGAACCTGGGAGGTGGATGTTGCAGTGAGCCGAGATCCCACCATTGAGCCAAGATCCCACCATTGCACTCCAGTCTGGGCGACAGAGCAAGGCTCTGTCTCAAAAAAAAAAAAATAAAAAATAAAAAATAAATAAATAAATAAATATTTTTTAAAAATTAAGGGAGGGCACAGTGGGGGTGGGGCCAGAGACATAATGAGGGGTGGGTGGGTGAGGACAGCAGGCAGGACTTCCAGGCAGAGGCCCCCAGGTTCTAGGTGGAGGACAGGGTAGCCTGGGCCAGACAAGAATAGCTCCTGCTGGCTGTGTTTCTAGGACAACAGGCTGCTCGCAAACCTCACACGTCCTGCCTTCCTTCTTGCAGGCTTCAGGGCTCAACCTGCTCTGTCTTCTGTCACTCATTCACTAACTCACTCACTCATTCATTCATTCAAGACTGATCAGGGGCCAGGCGTGGTGGCTCACGCCTGTAATCCCAGCTACTCGGGAGGCTGAGGCAGGACAGTCGCTTGAACCCGGGAGGCGGAGGTTGCGGTGAGCTGAGATCGTGCCACTGCACTCCAGCCTGGGCGACAGAGCGAGACTCCGTCTCAAACAAAGACAACAACAATAACAACAGCTGATTGAGGCTCCACTTGCTCTTCTCTTCTTGTCATTCATTCATTCAAGACCGGCTGAGCACTAACTGTGGGCAGGACCCCCTGCTGGCTGCTGTGGACCCAGGGAGGAAATCGGACTTGGAGTTCCTGAACTCAGGAATGACCATCTCATGGGGCAGAGATAGAGGCTGGTTGATGGCAGTCCTGCGAGGCGGAGAGGTGCGGCCAGACAAGGGGGAGGCACAGGCCGGGCTGGGAGCTCAGGAGGGTGCCTGCAGCTGCCAGGCATCTCTGAGACCTGGGCATCGATCTGTCAGTTACCAGCTCAGCATGCCAGAGAGTGGCTATGGAATCATGAAACTCTAGGGGCTGCAGAGCCATCCCCAGACCTGGTCATCGTCTTTGAGGAGCTCAGAGGTCAGGAGCTTCTCCTCACATGAGGTCAGGAGTTCGAGACCAGCCTGGGTAACATAGAAAAACCTTGTCTCTACAAAAAATTTAAAAAATTAGCCAGGGACAGTGATGTCTTCAGCCTCTCGGGAGGCTGAAGCAGGAGGATTGCTTGAGGCTGAAGCAGGAGGATTGCTTGAGGCTGAAGCGGGAGGATTGCTTGAGGCTGCGGTGAGCCCTCTAGCCTGAGTGACAGAGCAAGATCTTATCTAAACCCCTAAAGACAAAAAGCCAAAACAAAGCAAAACAAAACACATGAAACAAAAAACCCCAAAGGGGTGTATGGGGTGAGAACAGAGCTTCTTGGGTGCCAGACTGGGAGCTTGGACTTTCTGCCTTGGGCAATGGGGAGCCATATAATTGGATTTGAGGCCCTGATGGAGGCAAAATGAGCCAGGGAGTCAGTTCAGAGGCTGCTGTAGTGGATCAGGCCAAAGCTGAGGAGGCCTGAGTTGGAGTGTGGGCCAAGGGCACGCAAAGGCGAGAAGGGGCAAGAGGTGGATGGGAGCCAGGAATCACCAGTGTGGAGCTCTCTGAACCCACGAGCCTGGGGACCCGCTATCTCTGCCGCTAGCCCTGGAGGTCCCTGGCTGGGCCCTAAGACCCTGAGTCTTGCCTGTCCAGGTCCCTTCTCCATCAGCACTTCCTCTGTATGTGCAAGAAAGGGGGCTGTGGTTACTGTGGGGATAGAGACCTGGAGAAGTGAAACCGTGCTGAGCATCTGGGAACTGGTGGGGGTAAACAGCTAAAATGTTCTTGCAGGAAACAGCTCTTATGGGGCCAGGGTGGTAGGCTACAGATGAAAGCAAGGGTGGGTGCACGCTTGGCTCTGGATCACCTCTAGAGTACCATGGGGCTGAGAGGAGCCCAGGAGGAGAGAAAACAAGGGGATGAGTCCTCATTCCTGAAAATGGAAGATGGGCACAATTTGGAGCATTTTCGTTTAGCTATTTATTTTGCTTACCTGTGTTGTCTCCTTTTTTTCTTTCCAATGACTGTCTTCTTTGTGTATTTAAAATAATAAAAGGGGGACTTTGAGAGGCCGAGGCAGGTGGATCACCTGAGATCAGGAGTTCGAGACCAGACTGGCCAAAATGGTGAAACCCCGTCTCTACTAAAAATACAAAAATTAGCCAGGCGTGATGGCGGGCACCTGTAATCCCAGCTACTTGGGAGGCCGAGGCAGGAAAATTGCCTGAACCCAGGAGGCAGAGGTTGCAGTGAGCTGAGATCGTGTCACTGCACTTCAGCCTGGATGAAATAGTGAGATTCAGTCTCAAAAATAAATAAATAAAATAAAAATAAAAAACAAAATATTAAAAGGGGAAAAAGACATAACAGTTTGTATGCCAGGTTGCAGTGGCAATTGGGGACAAATTAAATGTCTAAACAAAGATTTCTTTTTTTTTTTTTTTGGAGACGGAGTCTCACTCTGTCGCCCAGGCTGGAGTGCAGTGGCATGATCTCAGCTCACTGCAACCTCCGCCTCCCAGGTTCAAGCGATTCTCCTGCCTCAGCCTCCTGAGTAGCTGGGACTACAGGCCTGTGCCACAACATCTGGCTAATTTTTTGTATTTTTAAATAGAGATGGGATTTCACTGTGTTAGCCACGATGGTCTTGATCTCCTGACCTCAAGATCTGCCGGCCTCGGCCTCCCAAAGTGCTGGGATTACAGGCGTGAGCCACCACGTCCCTCCCTGAGCAAGGATTTTTTGCTTTGCTCCTCTGATCCCTTGATCTTCATGTGCATGGGGCAGCTCTTAGAGGTGTGCACGCAGGGCTTTCTTGGTGTGGGTGTTTCTGCGGGGACCCACTTGGGGGCTTCTGCTCCCCTTCTGTGGTTCTGGGTGTGTGGACAGGCTGCCTCTGGCTGAGATTTGAGCCCCAGCTCCCCCAGCTTCAGACGGGCAACCTTGGGCCGCTAAAGCCTCTGTTTCCTCATCTGTAGAATGGGGGCAATGACAGTCCCCCTCTTTTAGGATGACAACTGCGAGTGTACAGCTCAGGGCCTGGCTGTCAGTCACCTCCTGACTGATGAAAGTGAGGATTGTTCTTCTTCATAATAATGACAGGGCCAGAGCCGCATGGCTCACGTGAGCAGGTGCTGCAGACCCCGACCCTTTCTAGGACACCAAGAGGCTATCAGGAAACAGACCCTGGTGTCTGGGAGACCCACTTTCTCTCTCTACATTAGGCTGGGTGCCCACTGCTGTGCCTCTGGAAGAACAGGCTTGTGTGTGCACATGCGTGCAAGCCAGGACACGTTCGTCTTTTTATGTACATGTTCACCTATGCATTTCCAGTGTTTGTGCATGAGCGAGGCCACTGTGCTGTACAGCTCCAGGGACTTCCGTTTACACAGTGGCCTAAGTAAAGGGCTGTGCACTGAGCAGCGACAGGGGGCTGCCGCTCCTCTGACTGCAGTGTGGATGGCAGCCCTGAGCCTGTGCATACGCGGGCAGGCCTCTGGGTGCACATCTCACTGCACATGTGTCTGTGTGTCTGGGTGTATGAGTGAGGCTGGGTGTACATGTCTGTGAGAGTGAGTTCCTGTGTGTGTGTGTGTGTGTGTGTGTATTTGTGCCTCTGCAGGTGTGTTTCTCTGGGAATGCCTGTTTGTATCTATATCTGTGTTCCCATATGAAGAGGAGGGAAGGAGCCGTGTGGCTGCGTGCTTATGTGTCAGTGTGTGTGTGTGAATGTCTGTGCCTTTGGGATGCTTCTTTCTTTCTTTTTCTTTCTTTTTTTTTTGAGATGGAGCGTGGCTCTTGTTGCCCAGGCTGGAGTGCAATGGCGCGATCTCGGCTCACTGCAACCTCCACCTCCCAGGCTCAAGCAATTCTCCTGCCTCAGCCTCCCGAGTAGCTGGGATTACAGGCGCCCGCCACCACGTCCGGCTAATTTTTTGTACTTTTAGTAGAGACGGGGTTTCACCACGTTGACCATGGCTGGTCTCAAGCTCCTGACCTCAGGTGATCCGCCAGCCTTGGCCTCCCAAACTGCTGAGATTACAGGCGTGAGCCACCGTGCCCAGCCAAGGGATGCTTGTTTCTTTGAGTGTTTGAAATGCACACGTTTCTCTGTGTGCCTGCTCTTGTGTGTGTGGTTGTACAGCTGTATGGGAGAGAGGGGGAGAGAACAGTGGGCTTGGGTGCCATGCCCTGTGCTGTGCTGGTCAGCTGTGGCCCTGTGCCAAACCTGGAGCAGCTGCCTTTAGAGGCCAGGAGGGCTACTTCCCGTTTCCTGAGCACTGTCCCTCTGTCTGCAGGAGTGCTGCTGGATATACAGGAGGTTTTCCAGATCAGTGACAACCATGCTGGTTTGCTTCAGACTGGTAAGGAGGAGCCCTGGCTCTGGAGCCGGGGCCCTGGGTTCATGCTGGGGTGGGCTCTTTCTGTGGGTCATGTTCTGTGCCCAGCTCCAGCCCCACTGGGTCCCCTGGCACAGAGGGTGGGTGGGGTATGGGCCTGAGGGACAGTCTAGGCAGGAGCAGGAGAGAGCCTGGGCTGGAACAGCCATGGTAGTTTGAGTGTAGGGTGCCGCGGGAGAGCAGGGGGAGGTGGGGCTGGGAGAGGTCCCTCAGCCTCAGGTCCTCGCTGTGGAGCTGGCCATTCCTTCCCTTCGTGTTGGTGAGGCTCAGCGGTGCACCAGAGGCTTGCTGGGCTTTGAGAAATCCTGATGTGTGCTTTCCTCTCACAGAACTGAAAAATCTGACTACTGGGACACACAAAGTCAAACAGACAGACACAGACAGGCACATCCCCCCACATGGGCTCAGATGGACTCTGGGCCCACAGACAGCCTGACACCCAGCAGCAGGGAGCAGCCACACGTCCCATCGCAACATCAGAGCGGTTGGGGTCATGAGGCGTTAGCTTTTCCCTTGTGGGTGCCTGGATGGTGACACACACCCACAGTGTGCATATCCACACACCCACATGTGCACACACATGGTCACAACACGTGATACGCCTGTGCACACACCCAGGCTGTAACCAGCAGGCACCGAGGGTCCTCACAGTCCATCATCTCAGGGCTTTAGAACATGGCTCTTAAACCGGGGTACAGGGATCCCTGGGGATACACAGTCACTTTCCAGGGGTTACATGAACACAGAGAGTTTTGAGAGACTGATTTATTTCTAGATTCTCAAGCCTGTATGTTTTTTTCCTAAAATGACCTGCCTGAGGGGGAGCCTGTGGTCGGCCTGTGGTTCTCCTTCCTCTCCTTCCATTGTACAATTCCCTGTCTACCATGGTAAACAGAAAGGGACTCCTCTCCGCATCCTGGATGTGCTGCTCCTGGGTGTAAAAACCTCTGGGGTATCAAACAGAGGCCCCTGCGTGGATGCTCGGCTTTTCCCAGGGGGACCTTGGGAGCAAAGCAGAGAGCATCAAGAGAAACGTGCTGGGGAGATTTGCCCCAGGCTACAAGCGCAGGCAAGGAGCCAAGCCTTATCTAGCTGTTCCCGTGTGCAGTGTCTACTATTTATCTACAAATTAGAATTCAAAGTGAGATAGCGGTCTCAGGGATGCATGTCAACACATTTCTTTCAATGAAAGAAAATGAAGCCAACATTTTTCTTATAATCAGTTTGACGTCTAATTGCTTTGGCAAAAGAGGACAGGCATTATTACTTAGATTCTACTGTAGACATTTCCCATAAACTGAATAAACTCAACCCTGTAGCTCCAAGAGTTTGGATGAAAATACAGTTTAAAAAAATACACAACAACGCTGGAAATCCCATCCTTGGCAACGATTCAAACTTGGGATAAGAACATTTTAATGTTAGCTGAAAATGTGTGGAGGAGTACATAGTTCTAGAAACTTCTTTAAGAGTGACATGAGAGCCAGGTGCAGTGGCTCACGCCTGTAATCCCAGCTCTTAGGGAGGCAGAGGCGGGAGAATAGCTTGAGCCCAGGAGTTCGAGACCTGCTTGGGCAATATAGTGAGACCCTATTCTCCACAGAAAGGAAAAAAAAAAGACAAAAGAGTTACGTGAGCAACAGTTAGAAGATCATGGCTTTAGAACATGCATGGTTTCCAATTGCCCCTCAATCTTGTGGCCAAGAGACAGCAGCTGATGCTGATCTTCCAGCCATATCTGTGGCCAAAGTGAGACCATCTTGGTTCAACACCCACAACCTTCTCGATTAAATAGATAATGGTGGTTTAGTCAACATTTCCCTTCACTGGTTCTTTTTTTTTCCTTTTTTTCTTGAGACGGAGTTTTGCTCTTATTGCTCAGGCTGGAGTGCAATGGCATGATCTCGGCTCACTGCAACCTCTGACTCCTGGGTTCAAGTGATTCTCCTGCCTCAGCCTCCCAAGTAGCTGGAATTACAGGCACCTGCCATCATGCCAGGCTGATTTTTGTACTTTTAATAGAGATGGTGGGGGTGTGTTGGGGGGGGTCTCACCATGTTGGCCAGGCTGGTCTCGAACTCCTGACCTCAAGTGGTCCACCAGCCTTGACCTCCCAAAGTGTTGAGATTACAGACGTGAGCCACCACACTGGCCCTTACCATAGTATGGTTCTTACCGTAGTGGTCAAGATTATTACTACAAGTCCTGGGCCACGGAGGGAGAAGTGTGTGTGTGTGTGTGTGTGTGTGTGTGTGTGTTTGGCAGTAGGTGAAGAGAAAGGTCATCTTTGCAGAAGCAGCTCAAAAATTTCATGAAAGGACAGTGGGCTTAGAGGCCTGATGACCAGGCTGGTCTCTGGTGGCCTCAGGTGAGTCTCTTTACCTTTTCCGGTTACCGTGCTATGGCCCTAGACCCAGCCTGTTGTCTGTCCACAGGGCTGCTGAGAAGAGGAAACTGATGACTGAGAGAGAGGGTGTTGAAGAGATAGAGGGGTTGGGCTGGGCACGGTGGCTCACGCCTGTAATCCCAGCACTTTGGGAGGCTGGGTGGATCACCTGAGGTCGGGAGTTTGAGACCAGCCTGGCCAACATGGTGAAACCTCGTCTCTACTAAAAATACAAAAATTAGCCAGGTGTGGTGGCAGGTGCCTGGAATCCCAGCTACTTGGGAGGCTGAGGCAGGAGAATCACTTGAACCCAGAAGGCAGGGGTTGCAGTGAGCTGAGATCGTGCCACTGCACTCCAGACTGGGCCACAGAGCAAGACTGTCTCAAAAAAAAAACAAAAAAAGAGAAGAGGAGTGGAAAGTGAGAAGAGGCAGTGGTCAGGCTCCCTCCAGCCACCCATGGGATAGAGAAGCTGCTGGAGTGAGTTCATTAATTAATAATATTTAAAACTAACACTGACTTGGCCCTTACCACATGTCAGGCACGATTCTAAGTGCTTTAAATATCAACTTATTTAATCTTCACGACAATCCCACCAGGCAGGTTTTACTATTATGTCCATTTTACAGATGATGAAACTGAGGCTCAGAGAAGTTATGAGACTTGCTGAAGCTGGGATTTGAATCCAGGAAGTGTGCCTCCAGAGTCTGTCTTTTAACTCTGGGAGCATTCATTTCACCCACTGTGTCACAGAAATGATTTGAATTAGGAGACCTTGGGAATGAGGAGTGTCTGTTTTCCCCTTGGGAAGGGCATCTGCAGATTCACAGAGCGTCTGCAGGTTTAAGGCACTTAAAACAGCCTGCAAGTGATCCCTGCATGTGAGGAATATGAGGATATATACATATTTGTTGTTGTTTGTTTGCTTTTTGTTTTTTTTTTTGAGAGAGACTCTCGCTCTGTCACACAGGCTGGAGTGCAGTGGTGCGATCTCAGCTCACTGCAACCTCCACCTCCCAGGTTCAAGCAATTCTTCTCCCTCAGCCTCCCCAGTAGCTGGGATTACAGGCGCCCGCCACCATGCTCAGCTAACTTCTGTATTTTTAGTAGAGATGGGATTTTACCATGTTGGCCCGGCTGGTCTCGAACTCCTGACCTCGGGTGATCCACCGGCCTTGGCTTCCCAAAGTGCTGGGATTACAGGCGTGAGCCACCGCGTCCAGCTGGGAAATAGTTTTATAACTTTTGGATAAAGAAGATATGCATAAACAAGATATGAAATAACACTTGCCCCTCCAGAAGGTTAATAAATTTGACTACAAAGCTAAACACTTCCGTATGATGGTGATTGAAATTATGCAATCAGTAATAATAATAGATAACATTTATTGGACATTTACATGAAGCTATGCAGATAACTTTTATGTGCTTTATTTTACTTAATTCTCTCAGTAACCAAACAAGGGAATAGCACTGTTGATGAAAGGGGAACACGAAGAGTTAAGGAATCTACCAAAGGTCACATAGCTAGAAAGTGGTGAGCCAGGATTTAAACCCAGCCAACTTAGTCCCAGAAGTTGCGTTTCTAATTCTTAAAACAAATATAAAAGACTATGGGAACTTATTTCCAAAACATATTAACAAACAACAGCCCAATAGAAAAATGGACAGTGGGCCGGGCACAGTGGCCCACGCCTGTAACCCCAGCACTTTAGGAGGCCGAGGTGGGCGGATCCCTTGAGCCCAGGAGTTCGAGACCAGCCTGCACAAGATGGTGAAACCCCGTCTGTGCAAAAACTACAAAAATTAGCCAGGTGTGGTGGTACTTGCCTGTAGTCTCAACTACTCTGGAGGCTGAGATGGGAGGATGGCTTGAGGCCAGGAGGCAGAGGCTGCAGGGAGCTGAGATTGAACCACTGCACTCCAGCCTGGGTGACAGAGCGAGACTTTGTCTCAAAAAGTAAAATAAAAGTATAAATGCAGCTGTGTCCAGGGAACATTTTACCTATGTAGGAAAACCAACTTTTTCCTGGCTTCCTGGAATCATCACTAGTTCACAGTCAATATGCTTATTCTTTTTTTTTTTTGAGACCAAGTCTTGCTCTGTCGCCCAGGCTGGAGTGCAGTGGCGTGATCCCGGCTCACTGCAACCTCCGCCTCCCAGGTTCAAACGATTCTTGTGCCTCATCCTCTCGAGTAGCTGGGAGTACAGATGCCCACCATCACACCTGGCTAATTTTTTTGTATTTTTTTTTTTAGTAGAGATGGGGTTTCACTATGTTGCCCAGGCTGGTCTTAAACTCCTGAGCTCAGGCAATCTGCCCGCCTCAGCCTCCCAAAGTGCTGGGATTACAGGCGTGAGCCACCGCGCCCGGCCCAGTGTGCTCATTCTAAAGCGTCCTCATCTGCTGCTCAGAGTAGGCCCAGGCTGACTTCCCTCTTTCCCTGCTCCCCGTTGCCCCAGTAGGTGCATGAATGAAAAATCAGACCTGTCCCCATATCCAGGCTCACGGGGGTCATGTGTGTTTGTAAAGCCGGGAAACTGGCATCTGCTCCATGCCTGACGCTCCGCATTCAGTTCCCATCTCACCTTCACCATCCTGGGAGAGGATGGTGACCTCTCCAGTGTTGGGGTGACACTCAGAGCAAGCGGCAGAGCTGGGCTTTGGGTTTGGGGCCAGATTGAGGCCTCCACACTCTGGGCTGCGGCTGCATGTTGGCCACGCACTGTGAGGTTCACCTTATCTTTTCTTCCTCATACCCTGGGCCCACTGCCAAGATGCCAGCTTGTGGCATCTGAGTCAGGCTCCTTCCCTGGGCCTGCTGGGCCATCTGCCCTGCCACGGTCGTGGGGGGATCCAGGCTGCCCCTGTGTGTCTCCTTCAGTCTTCGTTAGCTGCCTGCTGCTGTCTGCACCTGTGTTTGGCTACCTGGGCGACCGACATAGCCGCAAGGCTACCATGAGCTTCGGTATCTTGCTGTGGTCAGGAGCTGGCCTCTCTAGCTCCTTCATCTCCCCCCGGGTACGTGTCCATGCCCCTGTCCAGGCCCCTGAGGCCCCTTCCCCACCTGCTTCCTCCCTGATTCAGCCCCGTCAGAGCTGCGTGGGGACAATTCTGCTCCATTCCTGGCTGTGACTGGATCAGGGATTGCACTGAGGGCTGGGAGAGAAGGTGAGAGCACAGTCTCCAGTCTCCAGCCTGAGTCTGCACAGGGCAGAGCTGGTGGACTTTTTTTTTTTTTTTTTGAGACAGAATTTCGCTCTTGTTGCCCAGGCTGGAGTGCAATGGCGTGATCTCGACTCACTGCAAACTCTGCCTCCCGAGTTCAAGCAATTCTCCTGTCTCAGCCTCCAGAGTAGCTGGGATACCAGGCGCGTGCCACCACGCCCAGCTAATTTTTGTATTTTTTAGTAGAGACAGGGTTTCACCATGTGGGCCAGGCTGGTCTCGAACTCCCAGCCTCAGGTGATCCACCCACCTCGGCCTCCTAAAGTGCTGGGATTACAGGCGTGAGCCACCATGCCTGGCCAAGCCAGTGGACTTTCTTAACAGGAGGCCCCCTCTCTCCTACCTCTCACTGCCGCACCAGCTTCATTTCTGCCCGACTCTGCTGGGGGTGGGGCTGGGGGTAACAGCTGCTGTCTTGGGGAACTGGCCTGGTTAGCAATGGTGGGACCCAGGAAAAGGGCTCCCCTGGGCAGGGGGGCAGGTGGTGGCTGCAGGGGACACACGTTTGACTTTGGGAACCTGGAGTGGAGAGGTGTCTGTAGCCCCGATCCCCTCTCCCTACTCTGGGGTCCTGTGTCATGAGGTCCCCTTGGCTCCTCCGACAAACCCTCGGGTCCCTGGCCCTATGGGTGATTTCTGGAACTCACCGTGGTCTTGTGCCTGCTCGCCCAGTATTCTTGGCTCTTCTTCCTGTCCCGGGGCATCGTGGGCACTGGCTCGGCCAGCTACTCCACCATCGCGCCCACCGTCCTGGGCGACCTCTTCGTGAGGGACCAGCGCACCCGCGTGCTGGCTGTCTTCTACATCTTTATCCCCGTTGGAAGGTTGGTATCACCCGTGGGTCTACTTCCCCAGGTGGTAAACTGAGGCCCAAAGGAGTCAGAACAGGGGCTGGACCTGGGTAGGAGAGGTCAAACCAGGAGGGCTGGGATTTGAGTCCCAATGCTACCCCTCCCTCACCATGTGAGTCTACCTCTCCTAGCCTCAGTTTCCTCATCTGTAAACGGGGGCAGTGACACCAGCTGATGGGCTTGGGGAGGAATAGAGGTGATGAGGATGTGCCGTATAGATTCACACACTCGGCAGTGTGGCCCACCCAGGGAAGGGCCGGCTATGGGAGGTAAGGTGAGGAAGCGTGTTAGGGCCAGGCCCTGCACCCCACAACAGGCTAGGCCAGAGCAGGATTTGCAATCAGGACCCTGGCCTCTGACCCAGGTTTCCTGAACTTGCCTGACTCAAGCAGGGCCCAGCCTTGGGCAGGAGGGTGTAGGGTATGTGTTTCCATAGGTGGAGAGAGTGGCGCTGGGGGTGGGCCAGGAGCCAGAGGTCACTGGTGACCTGACCGAGGGCAGTGGACATCTGGGCCTCACGTGGCTTACTTTCCTCAGTGAAACAGGTCTGAGCCTGCAGAGAGCCAGCTCCCTGGGGCGTGGGGGGGGCACCCTGGGTCAGGCTGGTGGTGGGGTCTGCCTTCCGCCTCCCTCCCCTCACAGCCCATCGCCCCTGCCCCTTTGTTGCAGTGGTCTGGGCTACGTGCTGGGGTCGGCTGTGACGATGCTGACTGGGAACTGGCGCTGGGCCCTCCGAGTGAGTCCAGCTTCCTTTTCTTCCCTCTGCTTTCCCTCTGGACCGGCAGGGACTTTCCAGCCTTGGGTGACCTTAGCCACTTGGCGTAGCACCCGGCGCCATTAGGGGGACGGGGGGTGGTGGTCAGGCATCGGCAGCTTTGGACATGTGGGGCCTCATAGGGAGCATGGGGTGTGGAAGTGGTGGCCGTGGGCTCAAAAGCTGGCTGCTTAGTTTACCAGCTGTGTGATCTCAAGCAGATCACCTTCTTCTTCAGAGCCTCAGTTTGCCTGTCGGTAAAGCGGGGGTACTAAATGCTACCTAAGGCATCTTGAGGATCAGTGAGATGAGAGATGGAAGTTCCAAGCCGCAGGGTCAGGGTGTAGAGTAGGCCCTTGAGGACTGGCAGCTAGGCTTGCTCAGCAGTTCAGCAGAATGCTCAAGAAGATGCCGGGCAGGCCCCGCTGGGGCTCCAGCCCTTGTGTTTCCAACGTGGGCATGGAGAGGGACCATTCTGAAGAGGAAGGAACTCCATAGTGGAGGGTGCTGAGCTCAGCCCTGGGAGTGCAGCTTGGTGGGAATGCAGGCTGCGCGCAGACCACTGTGGAGCCAGCCCAGTGCCGGGGAGCTGGCGTGTGAAGTGCTGAAGCCAGATTTGGAATTTTGGGGGTGGGGTGGGCTTCAAGGAGGCAGGTCTGACCTGGCTTGAATAAACCTTCTCATGGTCTCAGCTGTTTGAAGGCTGCCCCAAGGTGGGTAGTGAGATCCCCGTCCTTGGGGTTTGAGCAGAGGGGCCGCTAGGAGAGGATGCCAGGGCAGGACTGTGTGGCAGATGGAGGCCTGGGCCAGGGAAAGATCAGCTCTAGGACAGCAAGTACTCAGGAGGCAGGGCCAGTGTAGCGAGGGTCCCTGTTCTCAACCGTCTCAGGCCCACTGACCTCAAAAGACTGGTGTCTGTACTGGAAAGACGGGAATTACATGAAGTCCCAAAGAGTCTCCACTCCCTGGAAAGGCTGCAGTGGTGAGGGCTGAGAAACAGTGGTACATCCTGCTCTGTGGATACCAGCATCCAGGAATCAGGTCACCCCCACTACCCCCAGGGCTTGGAAACCAGAGGTCAGCCACTGGCTGATACTGTGGCCAGTTGCCCCCGGGGGTCCCTTGGGCTGTGATAATATGCGGCCCTGAGCTTCCTGGGCCCTCCTGTCCCCAGGTCATGCCCTGCCTGGAGGCCGTGGCCTTGATCCTGCTTATCCTGCTGGTTCCAGACCCACCCCGGGGAGCTGCCGAGACACAGGGGGAGGGGGCCGTGGGAGGCTTCAGGAGCAGCTGGTGTGAGGACGTCAGATACCTGGGGAAAAAGTGAGTATCCCTGCTACCCCCTGCAAGGCACAGAAAAGCCCGTTTGTCTGCCCCAGCATCATTGACCCCCTCTCTCCACCTCCAGGGAGCCCTCCCTGGTTGTCCCAGTGTTCACAGCCCTCCTCTTCCTCTGAGATCGCACTTACCAACTGAAGTGCCTCTCCCTCCCTTAGGGCTCAGCCTCCATCACCTTGCCATGTGACAGAAATATGGACAGAGTGGGAGGGAGATGGCGTGAGCCCCAGCCTTCCCTCTGCCCTGCCCATAAGTGGCTCCAGCACTCAGAGCCTCAACGTCCTTTGTATTCAATGGATGGAATTCTCCAGCCTTGCCCCCTTCTCCGGGTTGCTGGGAGGATGCTGGGAATTCATCACTCACCTCTCCAAGCCTCATGGCGTGCATGATCCTCTGTGCCAGCCATGCTGGGGGAGGCAGGCAGGAGTCAATTGCTGGTCCCAGGCCTCATGATTCACTGCAAGGCAGGGCATGGACAGGATTCAATTCTGTTACTGAGCTGTGAAACTGGTCGGGAGGACTCAGAGGAAGACAGGGCAGGCAGGGACAGCTTCCTGGAGAATGTGATGCTGGATGGGGGCCTCCCAGGATGGGGAGATTTGGTCCTGCAGAGAGGAGGGAGGAGGAGGCAAGGTGTGTGAGTTGGGGGGGTCTCAGAAATGTTGGGGAGGCTGGAGCTCAGGGTGCTGCCAGGAAGGATCTGGAGGCTGGAGCTTGGGGTAACCTGAGTGTCTTCTTCTTCGGAGCCTCAGTTTGCCTATCTGTAAAGAGGGGGTAGCAAATGCTACCTATGGAATCTTGAAGGTAATGAGACAAGATGGGAAAGTTCCTAGACTGCCCAGGAGTGGGGAGGAGTGGACAGGCCCCTTCAGCCCCAGCCCTCTCCCAACTCCAGCTGGGGCACCTCGTCTTGCAGCTGGAGTTTCGTGTGGTCGACCCTCGGAGTGACCGCCATGGCCTTTGTGACTGGAGCCCTGGGGTTCTGGGCCCCCAAGTTTCTGCTCGAGGCACGCGTGGTTCACGGGCTGCAGCCTCCCTGCTTCCAGGAGCCGTGCAGCAACCCCGACAGGTGAGGGCATCCGGGGGCCCTGGGCACCTGGCCCGGCTCGGGGGCTCTTGCTGAGGAAGTTCTGAGGTTCTGAGCTCCAAAATTCAGTTTCTTGGGGTGGGGCATTTGGTGCTGTGTGAAGACAGTGGAGCTCAGGACCCAGATGGCAGCAGGAGGCCTGGCTCTGGCTCTGGCTGAGCCTCTGCCACTCTGGGTGGCCATGGCCAACTCTCTTGTCCTCTCTGGGCTGAATTCCCCATATCTCCACTCTTGGGGCTGCTGTGGGCTCCAGAAGGCACTGGTTGGAAATGGGGGTGAGGCTTCTGTGGGGCTGTGGGATGAGAGGAGCCTTAGGCAGCCACCCTTTAGAGGGGCCTGTAGCGTCTTCTGTGAGGGCATCCCATTTTACAGATGGCAAACTGGGGCCTGGGAGGCCTTGTTACTTCGCTGGTTTTGGGATTTCACGTGTGTGGGAAGGCTGCCGGGAGGGGAGGCGCGGGCACTCTGCCCTCAGGGCACGCCCTCTCCCGCTTCCTGCCTGGCTGTCTGCTGCCCGGCTGGGCTCCACTTCTGTTCCTATCGCCTTTGACCCTGTTCTCCAAGAGCTCCAGTGACCACTTGATGCTGAGTCAAGGACATCCTTCAATCCTCCCTTCCTTCTCTCCTCCTCCTCCTGGAACCCTTCACCCCGGCCTCCTCCCTGCCTCCAGGGGCTGCTCTCCAGCCTCCTTGCAGTCCCCTCCTCCTCTCTGACCCTGTCCTGGTGGGTCCTGGGGGCTCCTGGGGATGCTATCTTCTTCCCTGGAGCTCCATCCTCCCCCAGGGTTTTGGCGACACTCGTCCTCTGCTGACTGCACCCACGCCTACCTTCTCCTTCCCTCCTCCTCCTCCTTCCTCCTCTTTTCTCTCTTCTCCTCTCTTCTCTTCTCTCCTTCCTTCTCTCTTTCTTTCTTTCTCCCTCCCTCCCTCTCCCTCTCCCTCTCCCCTCCTCTCTCTCTCTCTCCCTACCCCTCCCTCCCTCCTTCCCTCCCTCCCTTCCTTACTTCTCTTCTTTTCTTTCTTTTTTGAGTCAAGGTCTCACTCTGTCACCAGGCTGGAGTGCAGTGGTACAAACACAGTTCGCTGCAGCCTCGACCTCCCAGGCTTAAGCAATCCTCCCACCTCAGCCTCCCAAGTAGCTGGGACCACAGGCACACGCCACCATGCCTGGCTATTTTTATTTTATTTTATTTTATTTATTTTTTTTTGAGACAGAGTTTCACTCTCGTTGCCCAGGCTGGAGTGCAGTGGCACAATCTTGGCTGACTGCAGTTTCCACCTCCCAGGTTCAAGTGATTCTCCTACCTCAGCCTCCCGAGTAGCTAAGATTACAGGCATGTGCTACCATGCCCAGCTATTTTTTTTTTTTTTTTTGTATTTTTAGTAGAGATGGGGTTTCACCATGTTGGGCAGGCTGGTCTCGGACTCCTGACCTCGAATGACTGGCCCGCCTCAGCCTCCCGAAGTGCTGGAATTACAGGCGTGAGCCACCGTGCCCGGCCGAACTTACAGATCCTTAAGGGCTCTCTTGGCTGTAAGAGTCTGTGATGCTGGGAGGGCCCTGTGTGGATGGAGGGAACATGAAGGGCTTGGTAGCTGGGGCATGTCCTCTGGCTGCCCCTCCTGCTTAGGGGCTGGCGGGGGTGCATTTTCAGGCAGCCTGTCTAAATAATCAATCCTAAGTCTCATGAATATCTCGAGAACCTGCCAAGGTCAGCCCAGACCAGGACTCAGAGGCAGCTAGCATACATCCGGGATTTGGGTCATTTGACTGGGCTGAGCCAGACCTCGCACAGCTTGGAAGCCTGGGAAGGTTTAGAAAGCACTTCTTCTTCTTCTTCTTTGTTTTTTTTTTTTTTCCATTTGAGACAGAGTCTTGCTGTGTTGCTAGGCTGGAGTGCAGTAGCACGATCTCGGCTCACTGCAACCTCGGCCTCCCGGGTTCAAGCGATTCTCCTGCCTCAGCCTCCCAAGTAGCTGGGACTACAGGCGCACACCACCACGCCCAGCTAATTTTTGTACTTTTGGTAGAGAATTTAGAGAATTCTCAGTCATTTGTGCAAAGTGAGGGTGGGAGAAGAGAGGGCAAGCTACATCGGTCAGCGTGGACCAGTCCCGCAGAGTCATCAGTGCTGGTCAGGAGCTTGCTCAGAGGACGACAGGGAGCTATTGAGAGGTTGGAAAGATCCTGGTTGGACTGGTGTTTTCAAGAGTTCACAGTGGGCACAGTCTCAGCGTTCCCTTTGAGCTCCTTTATTTGTTTTGTTTTGTTTTGTTTTTGAGACGGAGTCTTGCTCTCTTGCCCAGGCTGGAGTGCAGTGGTGTGATCTCAGCTCACTGCAACCTCCACCTCCCGGATTCAAGTGATTCTCCTGCCTCAACCTCCTGAGTGGGCTGGGATTACAGGTGCCCACCACTGTTCCCAGCTAATTTTTGTATTTTTTTTTTTTTTTAGTAGAGACGGGGTTTTGCTGTATCGGCCAGGCTGGTCTTGAATTCCTGACCTCAAGTGATCCACCCACCTCGGCCTCCCAAAGTGCTGGGATTACAAGCTTAAGCCACCTTGCCTGGTCCCCTTTGAGCTCCTTTAAAAGGGGGCTGGAGGTTGCACAATGGACCAGGAGGGTGAAGAAGTATATTCAAATCCTGGTCTGTAATTTACCAGCTGGGTAATCTTGGCCTTGACTTTTCTCAGCCTCACCTTGCTCACCTATCCATCTGGGAATTGTTGCCCAAGCTGGAGTGCAGTGGTATGATCATAGCTCACTGTGGCCTCGAACTTCTGAGCTCAAGCGATCCTCCCGCCTCAGCCTCCTGAGTAGCTGGGACTACAGGTGCACGCCACCAAGGCTGGATGATTTAAAAATTTTTTGTAGAGACAAAATCTTTCTGATCTGGAACTCCTCCCACCACAGATCTCCTGCCACAAAATGCACTCCTGGGGAGCCTTTGTGGAGGTTATTTTGGAGGGACAGGTCTCCACAGGAAGGATGTACAAGGGGAAGCCAAGCAGAGTAGAAGTGGCTCTAAAAGTGGGTGGGAAAGGGACGGAAGTCAGGTAGGGGCTGCCTGAGAGGGGTTCAAAGACGGGGAGTGGAAGGATGGGATTCAAGGAGGGAGGGCGTGTAGAGAGCCCAGACAAGGGCCAGGTGTATCACAGGGGCTCAGTAAATACATGTTTGCTTCCCTCCATTCCTCTTAGTACTGGGAGCTGGAAAGAGAGAAGGTTGGGGCCAGGGTGGGACCCTGGAATTCAGATTTTGAGTGGGGCAGTTTTGGGGGGTGAAAGGGTAAGGGTCAATGGAGATGAGGCAGGCTGGGACCTGGGGTGCAGGGTGATCACCCACATGGCCAGTGGGATCCCCAGGATGAGACAGGAGATGAGGCAGGAAAGGGGGTAGGGGAGAGCAGTGGGACATTGGTCCCTGGGAGTATCAGTGAGGAGGGTGGGTAAGGTTCTGGGTCAGGTCAGGGGCCCACAGCCATATTCCCTGTAGACACCAGATCATGCACTTGAGCCGAGGGGCTAGACCTGGGGCTGGGAGCAGGATAAGAGTCCCTATGCTAAGCTCACCCAGCTGACCAACCCTTCTGTGCTCTTCCCCATCAGCCTGATTTTTGGGGCACTGACCATCATGACCGGCGTCATTGGGGTCATCTTGGGGGCAGAAGCTGCGAGGAGGTACAAGAAAGTCATTCCAGGAGCTGAGCCCCTCATCTGCGCCTCCAGCCTGCTTGCCACAGCCCCCTGCCTCTACCTGGCTCTCGTCCTGGCCCCGACCACCCTGCTGGCCTCCTATGTAAGTGAGAGCCTCTATGGAGGTGGGGACAGGGTTGGGGGGCGAGGAACTCCTGTTTCCACAGGCTCATGCTGCGCCCGGCCTTTATGTACAATTATGTTGATCACTCCTTCTGAGTAGAGCTTGTTATCCCCATTTTACAGATCAGTAAAGAGAAGCTTGGCTGGACGCGGTGGCTCATGTCTGTAATCCTAGCACTTTGGGAGGTCAAGGCCGGCCTGGCCAATATGGTGAAACCCTGTCTCTACTAAAAATACAAAAAATTAGCTGGGCATGGTGGCAGGCACCTATAATCCCAGCTGCTTGGGAGGCTGAGGCAGGAGAATCGCTTGAACGCGGGAGGTGGAGGTTGCAGTGAGCTGAGATTGCGCCACTGCACTCCAGCCTGGGCAATGGAGCAAGACTCCATCTTGGGGGAAAAAAACAGAGAGAGAAGCTTACCAGGAGTTCCACAGTGAAGAAGGGGCAGAACTGGGATTTGAGCCTGAGCTTTTCTGACTGTAAAAGGTGTCCTCTGAGCATTGGGTTAATGTGTTAATTTGAGAAAATAGGACTCATTTATTGCCAGGGCATATTGTGGGCCCAAGAAGAAATAGAGCAATTCTCCCCAGGTTACAGAGGAGGGAAGCAAGGCCCAGATTGGTTATGGCCAATGTGGACGCTGCTTTAAGGGCAATAATCATGGTAATATCAAGTGTTCCAAATCCACATCCCATCACACCCCTTCATGGGCCTCACACTCTGGCTGTGCCAGCCGTGTGGGCACACACACTTCCCAGACTTTGCACGCGTCCATTTCTTCCACCAAGAACACCAGTTCCTCTTTTGTGCATCCTGAAATCCTCCTTCTGCAAGACTCAACTCAAAGTCCGCTTCCTCCAAAAGCCTTCCCCTACCACTCTATCCTCACACCAGAATTCACGTTCCCACTTGGGCTCAGCACCTGTTTGGGTCCCATGAGGCACCAAGGTTTATGGGGCCTGTCCACAGACAGGGAGCCCAAAGGGCAGGACCAGAGCCAGAGGGTCCCTGTGTGCAGCCGTGTCCCTGGCTCCCCAAAGCCCCAGCCCTGCCTGTCCCCCAACATGGGAAAGGGCTACTGCTTCTGGGAAGATGACGCCAGCCCAGCCACAAGCAGAGGGGCTAGACCTCTCCTCCTTTCCCAGCTCCATGGCCCTGGGCCCTGTGGCTGCAGACACAGATGCGCTTGCACATGTTAACCAGGTTTACTGAGCAGACTGGACTTTGGAAAAGTAAACCAGCCACAACTTTATTGTCCTCACACTAGTTTGGCTGCATCTCCTACCCATGGCCAGAGCCCATTGCTTCTCTAGTCACACACATGAACTAAACAGTCTGGTCCCACTGAAATCAAAACAACTTTAGCCCTGCTTCCAAATAAAGCTTTTTTTTTTTTTTTTTTTTTTTTGAGACAGAGTCTTGCTCTGTCGCCCAGGCTGGAGTGCAGTGGCACGATCTTGGCTCACTGCAACCAACCTCCACCTCCTGGGTTCAAGTGATTCTCCTGACTCAGTCTCCCAAGTAGCTGGGATTACAGGCACACACCACCAAGCCCGGCTAATTTTTTTGTGTATTTTTAGTAGAGACGGGGTTTCACTATGTTGGCCAGGCTGGTCTTGAACTCCTGACCTCGTGATCCACCCACCTCAGCCTCCCAAAGTGCTGAGATTACAGTCGTGAGCCACTGCACCCAGCCTTTTTTTTTGAGACTGAGTCTCACCCTGTTGCCCAGGCTGGAGTGCGGTGGCGCGATCTCAGCTCACGGTAACCTCCGCCTCCTGGGTTCAAGCGATTCTCCTGCCTTAGCCTCCCAAGTAGCTGGGATTACATGTGTGAGCCACCACGCCCAGCTAATTTTTGTATTTTTAATAGAGATGGGGTTTCGCCACATTGGCCAGGCTGGTCTCAAACTCCTGACCTCAGGCGATCCGCCTGTCTCGGCCTCCCAAAGTGCTGGGATTACAGGTGTGAGCCATCACGCCCAGCCCCAAACAAAGCTTCTATCCGGACCAGAAAACTGCCTTGGGAAGAGGCAGGGCTGTCGTCCGGTTTTGTTCTCCTTGTTCCATCTTCTACCCCAACATCCCTGACATCTCCCCTCCCCTTGCGATTCTGTCCTCTCCAGAGATGAGCAGGCAAGGAAGGATGACTGAGAACAGGCCAAGTATTGCCTGTGTCCGGAGCTGTTTCTGCTGACTGTCGGTGCCCCACATGTGGCAGATGCCCAGAGGCGGGGTGTGGGGGGTACTTTGTGGGCGTTTTGGGGTCTCTGGCCCTGGTTTTTGCTTTGCCCAATTCCTTGATGCAAGGGTTGCCTTTCCAGCCAGGCTGTCTTGCCCCGGTAGGCAATCCTGCAAGGGGCCCCCTCTCATGAGCACCGTGTCTCCCTCCACGGTGTCCATCTGAGCCCTGTAGGATGTCGGGAAGGGAGGCCTCCCCCACTGCCGCCCTCTCCCCTCCCACGACACTGCAGACTACTCCATCTGGCATCCCCACCCACAGACTTCCCTTGGGGGAGTCAGGGCCCAGGGTCCATTCTCCCCGAATGCCAGATGACATGCATCTGAGTGTCCTAAAGACGTCTTCTATGCACGCCCCTCAGGCTGTCCTGGTATAGGAGGCTCAGCATTTAGCCAGCGTCCAGTCAGGGAGAAAAGGCCAGCTTCCTTCCTGGCAAGCACTGCCCTCTGTGGGGGGGGGGTGAGTGTCACCTGAAGCCCCTCACTCAGCTTAAGAGTAGAACTCTTTATTCTTTATTTATTAACTTTTTTAGAGATGGGGGCTCTCACTATGTTGCTCAGGCTGGTCTTGAACTCCTGGGCTCCAGCAATCCTCTTGCCTCAGCCTCCTGAACAACTGGGACTACAGGCGTGCACCACCACACCAGGCTAATTTTTGTATTTTTAGTAGAGATGGGGTTTTGCCATGTTGCCCAGCCTGGTCTCGAACCCCTGTCCTCAAGTGATCTGCCCATCTCAGCCTCCCAAAGTGCTGGGATTACAGGCATGAGCCACCGCGCCTGGTCAAGAGCAGAACTCTTTCAATAAATCCTCCCCTGAGCATGACTTCCACGCAAGCAGTGGGGGGCCAAATGGGATAGCTCTGTTCTCTCGCCGAGTCCTGAAGGTGTGCTGGCACCTCTCTTGAGATGTGGGCACTGCTCATCCCTTGTTCTCAGCCTTGGGTCTCTGCAGAAATTCCTGAAGACTAGAAAGTCTTGTCATTCTCTTCTGCACGTGCTCTTATTTAGTCCTCACGACTGACACTTTTGTGGGGAAGGTTTTTTCTTTTCATATTTTATTTTATTTTATTTTTTTGAGACGGAGTCTCTCTCTATTGCCCAGGCTGGAGTACAGTGGCACGATCTAGACTCACTGCAACCTCTACCTTTCAGGTTCAAGCAATTCTCCTGCCTCAGCCTCCCCAGCAGCTGGGATTATAGGGGCATGCCACTAATTGTTGTGTTTTTTGGTTTTTGTTTTTGTGTTTTTTTTGGTTTTTTTTTTGAGACAGGGTCTCACTCTGTCGCCCAGGCTGGAGTGCAGTGGAGCGATCTCAGCTCACTGCAACCTCTGCCTCCCAGGTTCAAGTGATTCTCCTGTCTCAGCCTCCTGAGTAGCTGGGATTACAGGCCCATGCCACCACACCCAGCTAATTTTTGTATTTTTGGTAGAGATGGTGTTTCACCATTTTGACCAGGCTGGTCTCAAACTCCTGACTTCAAGTGATCTGCCTACCTCGGCCTCCCAAGGTGCTGGGATTACAGGCATGATCCACCACGCCCAGCCTGGAAGGTTTTTTCTTATGCCATTTGACAGGTTGGAAAACTGAAGCCCACAGATAGAATCAGGTAAATAGTGGGACAGACAAAACTCCAACACCTGGCTGGGTGCAGTGGCTGACGTCTGGAATCCCAGTATTTTGGGAGGCCAAAGTGAGAGGATCACTTGAGCTCAGGAGTTAGAGACCAGCCTGGACAATGTAGCAAGACCCTGTCTCTACAGAAAATTAAAAAATTAGTTGGACATGGTGGCACATGCCTGTAGTCCCAGCTACTGGGGAGGCTGAGGCTGGAGAATTGTTTGAGCCCCAGTGATAGAGGCTGCAGTGAGCTCTGATCATGCCACTGCACTCCAGCCTGGGTGACAGAGTAGGACCCTGTCTCAAAACAAACAAACAAACAATCAACCTCCAACTTGGCCGTGACGCCTCCAAAGTCTGTGTCCTTCATAGTGCACTGATCCAGAAACAGCGGGGCACACCCCAGGCACTAGTAAATCCCTTAATGCTTATTGACTGAGGGAGGGGACCATCACTTCTGGCTGGTGGGAGCTGATGGGGGCTGGTGGGGCCTGACCTCACAGGGAGGCTGGGGCCCAGGCAGATGGAGGCCCCATCAAAGCTGTCCCTGTACCAGCCAGCTGGGGCTGGGGGCCCCCTGCCAGCCCTGCTTCTGCCACTGTCTTGGTTGGTTCTGGGAGGTGCTCCTTGGCTGTGTTTTGGGGACACAGCTGCCCCCCCCTCACCCCCTGCACCCTGCAGCCTGGCGCATCTCTAGAGCTGGTTGTCTCATCCAGAAATGACATTGCGTCTTGGCCGCCAAAGCCAGCTGGAGAAACTCTTCTTTAGGCCTGCCCTGGGGGTTGGGGCTGAGGGGCAGAAAGGCGGGCAGGGCCAGAGTGCATCCCTCCTCTGGCGCTGGGAAGCTGCTGGGTCTGGCATGGTACCCACCGATGCTGAGCCTCTGCGGCCAGAACTCTAACCCTCAGAGGTGATGCCATCCCGCCCCCACCCCTTGGCTCTGTCTGTGCCTCCGTAGAATGCTCGGATGTTCTGACCTGAGATTCAGGCTCCAGTTCTTCCTTCCCAACAACTGTCAGTCACAAAGCCCTTGACCTCTCCCAGGCCTACCCTCCTCTCCGTCCTCTCTGCCCTTCCCTGGCTCATGCCTTGCTGTCTTTCTCCAGAACTGTTCTAGAAGCCACCTTCCTGGTCTCCGTGTCTTCCTGCTCACCCACTACAGTCTGTTCTTCTGTTCTTCACACACTGCCAGAGTGAGCTAGCTAGCTTGCTTGCTTTTTCTTTCTTTTCTTTTCTTTTCTTTCCCTCCCTCCCTCTCTCCCTTCCTCTCCCTCTCTCTCTCCCTCCCTCCCTTTCTTTCTTCTTTCTTTCTTTCTTTCCATTTTCTTTTTCTTCTTTCTTTCCTTCCTCCCTCCCTCCCTTCTTTCTTCTTTCTTTCTTTCCATTTTCTTTCTTTTCTTCTTTCTTTCTTTCTTTCTTCCCTTCCTCCCTCCCACCCGCCTTCCTTCCTTCCTTCCTTTCCTTCCTTTCTTCCTTCCCTCCTTTCTTTCTTCCTTCCCTCCTTTCTTTCTTTCTTTCTTTCTTTCTTTCTTTCTTTCTTTCTTTCTTTCTTTCTTTCTTTCCTTCCTTCTTTCTTTCTTTCTTTTCTTTCTCTTTTCCTTCCCTTCCTTCCTTCCAGACAGGGTCTCCCTGTGTTGCCCAGGCTGGTCTTGAACTCCTGGCCTCAAGTGATCCTGCCCATGCTGCCTCCCGAGTAGCTGGAATTCAGGCATGTGTCACTGTGCCTGGCTGACAGAGTGAGCTTTCTGACACCACCTCCCTTCCCTGCTCAAAAGCCTCGCATGGCTCCCTGGTGCCTGTGGAACTAGGCCCAGCCCCTTATCCCGGCATTTAAAGCCCCTCATGAACTTCTCCAATAACCTTAGGAGCCTTATTCCTCCACTGAAGTCCTGCCACGCAGGTCCCCTCTTGATTCCCTAGTCATTCCTCCCCTCTCCCTCTCTTTCCCCATCCTCACTCCCTTCTCCATGTGTCCAGAGCATTCTAGGCCTTCAAGGGCCAGCTTACCACCGTCTCTCCATGGATTCCTCCCTGGTTGCTGGGCCTGACCCTCTCTCCCTTAGTACGCCCAGTGTTGTCGTCCTGGGGTCTCAGTTACGTACGTTCTGACTCCTCTCCCAGCCCTGTCTGTGAGTTTAGCAGGGTCCAGGTCTGGTTCTAGTCTTTCTCTGCACTCCAGCTTGAAGCACAGTGTCAGGCACGTGGACAGGTGGGTGAGGTAAGTCACTGCTGGCTGAGTGAAGAGTCGAGTGACAAACTGTTTGTATTCATTTGTTTATTCAACCAATATTTATTGATTGTCAATTAAGTGGCATACTAGTTTAAATGCTGTAGATATAGGCAGCTGGGTGCGGTGCTTCATACATGTAACCCCAGCACTTTGGGAGGCCGAGGCAGGCGGATCACCTGAGGTCAGGAGTTCAAGACCAGCCTGGGCAACACGGCAAAACCCTGTCTCTACTAAAAATACAAAAAATTAGCTGGGCATGGTGGTGTGTGCCTGTGGTCTCAGCTACTGGGGAGGCTGAGGCAGGAGAATCGCTTGAACCCAGAAGGTGGAGGTTGCGGTGAGCTGAGATTGCGCCATTGCACTCCAGCCTGGGCGACAGAGCGAGACTCCATGTCTAAATAAATAAATAAATAAACCAATGCCGTAGATATAGCAGTGAATAAAACAGACAAAAATGTCTCTGTCCTGAGAGAACTTACATTCTAGTTGAGGGAGATAGATAACAAACAAGATATATAAGTATTGTGAATTTTATTGTAAAATTCAGAGTATTTCAGATAATAATAAAGGCTTAGGAGAGAAGTATTGTTGGGAAGGAAATAGGGAGAGTGTGAGTATTGGGAGGAGAGGGTAGCAATTTTTTGTAGGGTGGCCAGAGAGACCTCTCTGAGAAGGTAGTTGTTGAATAAAGACCTGTAGGGGGTGAAGTAGTGAATTATGTGGATATTCGGGGGAACAGTGTTCCAGGTAGAGGGAACAGCAACTGTGAAGGCCCTGAGTCAGGAGTGTACCCGATGGGTTTGAATAACAACAAGGCGGCTACTGTGATTAGTGCAGAGAGAGAAGTGGGAGAGGGACGTGAGGACAGAGAGATGATGGGTGCCAGATCATGTAGGATGTTGTGGGCATTGGGTGAGATGGAGTTTTGTTCTAAGAAGTGAGACATCTGGCTTTTGTCTTCCGCATCTATTGAAATTATCATGTAGTTTTGTCCTTTATTCAATTTCTACAGTTTATTACATTGACTGATATTTATATGTTTAACCAACCTTGCATTCCTGGGATATGTTTGCCATGGTCATTGTGGGTAATCATTTTTATGTATTGCTGGATTTTTTTTTTTTTTTTTTTTGAGACAGAGTCTCACTCTGTGGCCCAGGCTGGAGTGCAGTGGCGTGATCTCGGCTCACTGCAAGCTCTGCCGCCCGGGTTCACACCATTCTCCTGCCTCAGCCTCCCGAGTAGCTGGGACTACAGGCGCCTGCTACCACGCCTGGCTAATTTTTTGTATTTTTTTTTTTTTTTTAGTAGAGACGGGGTTTCACCTTGTTAGCCAGGATTGTCTCGATCTCCTGACCTTGTGATACACCTGCCTCAACCTCCGAAAGTGCTGGGATTACAGGTGTGAGCCACCGTGCCTGGCTGAATTGCTGGATTTGAGTTTGTAGTATTTTGTTGAGGATTTTTGCACGTACATTCATAAGAGATATTGGTCTGCAGTTTTCTTGTGGTGTCTTCATCTGGTTTTGGTATCAGGGTAGTGGCCTTGTAATGAGTTGGCAAGTGTTCCTTCCTCTTCTGTTTTTTGGAAGACTTCATGAAGAATTTGTTAATTTATCTTTAAACATTTGGAAGAAGTCACCAGCGAAGCCATCTGGTTCTGGGCTTCTGTTTGTGGAAAGTTTTTTGATTGCTAACTCAATATTTACTTGTTATAGGTCAATTCAAATTTTCTATTTCTTCTTGAGTTGTTTCAGTAGTTTGTATCTTTTTAGGAATTTGTACATTTATTCTAGGTTAATCTAATTTGTTGGCACACAATAGTTTATATTATATAACAGTTCCTTCTAATTCTTTTCATTTCTATAAGGTGAGCAGTAATGTCCCCCCTTTCATTCCTAATTTTAGTAATTTGAGTCTTTTTTTCTTGGTCAGTTTATCTAAAGGTTTGTCTATCTTGCTGATTTTTTCAAAGAACCAACTTTTGGTTTCATCAATTTTTCTCAATTTTTTTCTATTATTTGCTTTCTTTTCTTTTCTTTTCTTTTTTTTTTTTTTTTTTTTTTTTTTGAGACAGGGTCTTGCTTTGTTTCCCAGGCTTGAGCTCCTGGCTTCAAGCAATCCTCCTGCCTCAGCCTCCCCAGGCATTAGGATTATAGGAGTGAGCCACCCTATCTGGCTGGCTTGTGCTGAGTAGAATCACTCTGGCTACTCTGTTGAGAATAGACCTGGGGGCAAGGGCAGAAGCAGAGAGGAGTGAGGAGGCTGTTGTTAGAATGCAGGTGAGATGATGCGGTTTGAACCAGAGTGGCAACAATGGCGATTGTGAGAGGCAGTTGGATTACATATGTATTTTGAAGGTAGAGCTATCAGAATTTCCTCATAAATTCCAGGAGGGGTATGAAAGAAGAGTCAGAGGTGAGTTCCAGGTATTGGCATGAGCAGCTGGAACCGGGGAGGGCCCATTAATTGAGGCAGGAAAGTGAGCAGGAGCAGCAAGTGTTTTGGGGAAGGTCAACAGCTTGGTTTTATACATTCTGAGTTTGTCGGGGGAGGTTGATATCCAAGTGGAGGTGTTAGTAGACAGTTGGATACAGGAGTCGGAAGTCCAGGGGATATGGAATCATCCCTAAAACTTCAAAGGGTGAAAACATTTTTGGGGAGCAAAAGGAGTCAGCATTAGGATGGGTGTCCAGAGGGTGCTGAGGAATTGGCTTCTGCTGGGATTCAAAATATGATGTCACCTTACTTTCTTCTACTCATCCATCCACCCATTCACCAATCCATCCATCCATCCATCCATCCATCCATCCATCCATCCATCCATCCATCCATCCATCCATCCATCCATCCATCCATCCATCCATCCATCCATCCATCCATCCATCCATCCATCCATCCATCCATCCATCCATCCATCCATCCATCCATCCATCCATCCATCCATCCATCCATCCATCCATCCATCCATCCATCCATCCATCCATCCATCCATCCATCCATCCATCCATCCATCCATCCATCCATCCATCCATCCATCCATCCATCCATCCATCCATCCATCCATCCATCCATCCATCCATCCATCCATCCATCCATCCATCCATCCATCCATCCATCCATCCATCCATCCATCCATCCATCCATCCATCCATCCATCCATCCATCCATCCATCCATCCATCCATCCATCCATCCATCCATCCATCCATCCATCCATCCATCCATCCATCCATCCATCCATCCATCCATCCATCCATCCATCCATCCATCCATCCATCCATCCATCCATCCATCCATCCATCCATCCATCCACCAATCCATCCACCCACCCATCCACCAATCCATCCATCCATCCACCCTCCCACCCACCCACCAATCCATCCATCCATCCATCCATCCACCCACCCACCCATCCACCAATCCATCCATCCACCAATCCATCCATCCATCCATCCATCCATCCATCCATCCATCCATCCATCCACCAATCTATCCATCCATCCATCCATCCATCCATTCAACCACGCACCCACCCACCCACCCACCCACCAATCCATCCATCCATCCATCCATCCCTTCACTTCTCAGATGGCAGGAACCAAAGTCCTTCCTGCATGATTTCTGCTGTTGAAGGAGTAAGTCCTGGGGAGACAGGCTCCAAACTCTTCTTGGGAAGGGCCCAAGAAGGGTATAGACAGGCTCCAAACTCTTCTTGGGTGGGCATGTGTGCTGGTGTGTGCATGCATCTGAGTGTGTATATGTTCATTCTTGTGTGTAGACATTAAAATGAATATACTGGCCGGGTGCAGTGGCTTACGCCTGTAATCCCAACACTTTGGGAGGCAAGGTGGGTGGATCACTTGAGGTCAGGAGTTCAAGACCAGCCTGGCCAACATGGTGAAACCCTGTCTCTACTGGAAATACAGAAATTAGCCAGGCATGGTGGTGGCACCTGTAATCCCAGCTACTCAGGAGGCTGAGGCAGGAGAATCACTTGAGCTCAGGAGGTGGAGGTTGCAGTGAGCCGAGATTGCGCCACTGCACTCTAGCCTGGGCAACAAAGCAAGACTCTGTCTCAAAAAAAAAAAAAAACAAAACAAAACAAAAAACCAAACCTGAATATACTAGCCAGGCATGATGACTCATGCCTGTAATCCCAGCACTTTGGGAGGTCAAGGTGGGCGAATCACTTGAGGTCATGAGTTCGAGACCAGCCTGGCCAACATGCTCTCTCCCATGCCCCTGTCCCCACTAAAAATATATTAAAAATTTAGCTGGGCGTGGCGGCATGCGCCTTTAATCCCAGCTACTTTGGAGGCTGAGGTAGGAGAGTTGCTTGAACCCGGGAGGTGGAGGTTGCAGTGAGCCGAAATCGTGCCACTGCACTCCAGCCGGGCAACAGAGTGAGACTCCATCTCGAAAAAAAAAAAAAAAGAATATACTTGTACATACAATATACATTTAGCATGAACATGCTAAATGTATATTGTATGTACAAATATATCTATTTTAATTTGTATGTATGTGCATGGTGTGTATGAGTGTGTCGATGTGTGCTGTTTTGTACACTTATCTGTGCACGAGCATGCACACCCAACTCAGGACATGCAGATAACTGCGTGGGACGTGCCTGTGTGCACATGTGGACCTGCAGCTAAGTATAGCTTTTCTCCTGCTACTTTTGTGCCTGTAACTGCATTGTGTGGGCAGGATGATTTTTGGTGGCACTGTGTGTCTGTTCCCAGATTTCCTGAAGTAGGGGCCAAATCATGCTGCTTGTTTCATGGAAATGAGCTTTTCTGAGAATATAAAGTCTGGTCTGGGGCCTTCCCTGGGGGAGCCCATGCCCTGTGGCCACGTACAGAAACAGAGGCTTCCATCTCTTCCATCTTTCCAGTCCTCTTGGCAAGGGAAGTGGACTTCTCGGCTGTTAATTAGGGTCCAGACACGCACACAGCAGGTCTTGGCTTATACCACCTTCGTTGGCCTTCTTCCCAGAGCTGCTGCCCTTCAGAAGAGAATAGGTTTGTGCTCAGAGGAGGGACTGCACCCAAAGCAGGGCCTCCACTGTCACTGACCTGATGGCTGGAGGATGTGGCTGAACGTCGGCTATCCCCCCTTAGGTGGGCTTTGTGGTCAAGGTGGAGGGGCAGGAGTGGGACATGGGAGGGAGCATGCTGTGAGCTGTCTGAAAGACCTGGCCATCATTCCTTCTTTCCTTACCAGTTGTGTGACTTGTGTGACCTAGGGCAAGATCTTGACCTTGCTGAGCCTCAATTTTCTTAGCAAGAAAATGGGAGTGCTACTCTTTACCTCTCGGCTTCATTAAAGAGATAAGCAAACTTTTGAGCCTGTTCTTTTTTATTTTTTTATTTTTTGAGACAGAGTTTTGCTCTTGTTGAGCAGGCTGGAGTGCAGTGGCGCAATCTCGGCTCACTGCAACCTCCGCCTCCCAGGTTCAAGCGATTCTCCTGTCTCAACCTCCTGAGTAGCGGGATTACAGGCATCCACCACTATGCCCGGCTGACTTTTGGTATTTTTAGTAGAGATGGGGTTTCACCATGTTGGCCAGGCTGGTCTCCAACTCCTGACCTCAGGTGATCCACCCGCCTCGGCCTCCCAGAGTGCTGGGATTACAGGCATGAGCCACCACTCCCGGCTGAGCCTGTTCTAATTACTATGCATATGTAACAAAATTTAATGGCTTAAAACAACAAGAACATTTATTTTGCTCACAAATTTGCAGTTTGGACCAGGCTTGAGAGCAAGAGGGGATGACATCTCTTTTCCACTTGGTGTTAGCTAGGCTGGATAAGGGTGAGGGGCTGGATCATCAAAGGGGTGGGGCCTGCCTGGCAGTCGATTCAGCTGTTGACTGAGACCTTAGCATTGGCTGGTACACCTGTCTGTGGCCTCTCCGTGTGGTCTGTGCTTCCTCACAGCATGGTGGCCGGGTTAAACAAGGACTAATGTTCTGAGATAGCGGGCCAGGTAGAACTGTGTTGCCTTTTATGACCTACCCTTGAAAGTTACCATGAATGTAACTTGCATTCTCTGCATTCTATTTTTTTTTTTACCTGAGCACAACTTTCTGCTCATATTAGTGGGGCAAAGAAATGGACTCTAGGCCATGCGCAGTGGCTCATGCTTGTGATCCCAGCACTTTGGGAGGCCGAGGCGGGAGGATTACCTGAGATGAGGAGTTCAAGACCAGCTTAGCCAACGTGGCAAAACCCCGAGGCTACAAAAATACAAAAATTAGCCTGGCATGATGGCAGGTGCCTGTAATCCCAGCTACTTGGAAGGCTGATGGGGGAGAATCACTTGAACACAGGAGGCGGAGGTTATAGGGAGGTGGGATCGCCACCAATGTGCTCCAGCCTGGGTGAGGGAGTGAGACTCCATTTCAGAAAAAAAAGAAATGGACTCTATCTTTTGATGAGAGTATCAGTGATCTGAAAGAACTTGTGGAACTGGAAATATTGCAGTGACTGTCTTTGGAAAATGCAATCTCCCATCATGCCCCAGGGTTTCCTTCTCTTCTGTCCCCTGGGCCCTGCCGACATCTGACATTGCATGGGAAAGTGTTTTGTGTGCACAGTGGCGAAGCCTACCAGGGTGGGTCTCTAGTTCCACGCTGCTCTTTTGGTCTCACGGTGAGAAACCCGGACTCGAGTGCTCACCCTCACACCCCTGCTTGGCCTCATGGGCTGAGGGAGCAGGTGTGCTTGAGATCTCAAAGGGCCAAGCCTATGGCCATGGCCAGGTGGCTGAGATGCAGGTCTCCACCAGGAAAAGCAGCAATGTCCACTCACTTATGAAATCTTTCCCCAGCGCCTCCTCTTTCCCAGACGCTGTTCCAGGCACTGGAGTACAGCATGAACAAAGCAGGCAAAAGTATGTGTGTGTAATACAATAAACATGGAAAATCAACACCATAGGCCAGGCACGGTAGCTCATGCCTGTAATCCCAGCACTTCGGAAGGCCGAGGTAGGCAGATCATGAGGTCAGGGGTTTGAGACCAGCCTGGCCAACATGGTGAAACCCTGCCTCTACTAAAAATACAAAACTTAGCCGGGCATGGTGGCACGTGCCTGTAATCCCACCTATTTGGGAGGCTGAGGCAGGAGAATCGCTTGAGCCCAGGAGGCGGAGGTTGCAGTGAGCTGAGATCGCGCCTTTGCACTCTAGCCTGGGTGACAGAACGAGACTCTGTCTCAAAAAAAAAAAAAAAAAAATGGCCAGGCACAGTGGCTCACACCTGTAACCCCAGCATTTTGGGAGGCCGAGGCAGGCAGATCACTTGAGGTCAGGAGTTCGAAACCAGCCTGGCCAACATGGTGAAACCCTGCCTCTACTAAACATACAAAAATTAGCTGGGCATGGTGGTGGTGGGCACCTGTAATCCCAGATACTTGGGAGGCTGAGGCAGGAGAATCGCTGGAACATGGGAGGCGGAGGTTGCAGTGAGCCGAGATCGCACCATTGCACTCCAGCCTGGTGACAGAGCAAGACTGCCTCTCAATAAATAAACAAACAAACACCATAGTATGTTAGATGGGGATGAGTTCTCTGGAGAGCAACAGCAGGGAAAGGGGACAAAGAGAGCGACAGGGGCAATGCACAGGGCCAGGGGAGGCCTTGTTGAGACGGAGACACTCCAGAAGCAGGTGTGGGGTGGAGCCATGTGGGTGGGGGTGGAGCGGGGAAGCGCAGTCCATGCGGAGGGCAGCCTGTGCGGAGGCCCTGAGGGAGAATGCATGGCTGGTGTGTTGGGGAGATGTGGCTGGAATGGGGTCAGCCAGGGAGCAGCAGAGGCGATGAAGTCAGAGGTCACGGTGATGGGGGAGTGAGGGTGCGGATTATGGAGGGTCTTGTACATAGATTCACTCTGGCTTCCCATGTCACTGACATTGGAAGCCACCAGACTGTCCAGCGCAGAGGTGAGAGGATCTGACTTAGGGGTTGTATCCGGAATCTACTGCTGCAAAAAAAAAATCACCCCAAAACTTCGTGGCTTAAAACAATGCCCAATTATTTCTGATTCTGTGGCCTGGCTGGATGGTTCCTCTGCTGGTTTGCCTGTGTCCGCTCATGTGGCTGCTTTCATCTGGATGATTACTGCACTGGAATGTCCACGCTGACCTTACTCACCTCCGGCTGTCCCCTGGGTCCCCTTCATCCTTCTCCGTGTGGCCGTTCACCCTCCCCTAGGCTAGACCAGCTTCCTTATATGACCATCTCAGGGCAATGCTCTAAGATAGCAAAAGTGGAAGTTGCAAAGTCTGTTAAGCACCAGGCCAGGAACTTGAAAAGCATCACTTCCACCTGATTTATTTAATTTAATTAAATTAATTTATTTATTTATGACAGAATCTCGCTCTGTCGCCCACGCTGGAGTGCGGTGTGATCTCGGCTCACTGCAACCTCTGCCTGCTGAATTCAAGTGATTCTTCTGCCTCAGCCTCCAGAGTAGCTGGGATTACAGGCACCTGCCACCATGCCCGGCTAATTTTTGTATTTTTAGTAGAGAGGGGGGTTTCACCATGTTGGTTGGCCAGGGTGGCCTCGAATTCCTGACCTCAAGTGGTCCACTCGCCTCGGCCTCCCAGAGTGCTGGGATTACAGGCATGGGCGACGGCGCCTGGCTACTTCCACCTGATTTTATTGGCCAAAGCAAGGTATAAGGCCACCCCCAGTTTACCATGGCAGGGGACTTCATACAAAGTGTGAATGTCAAGAGGCCTGATTAATTTGGGGCCATTTTGTAGCTTATGGACCACGTGGTTTAACAGGCTCTCTCTGGCTGCCACGTTGAGAATAGAATGAAAGAGGACAGGCTGGGCGTGGAGGCGCACACCTGTCATCCTAGCACGTTGGGCAGCTCAGGTGGAAGAATCGCTTGAGCTTAAGCTCAGGAGTTTGAGACCAGCCTGGGCAACATAGAGAGAAAAAATTAAAAAAACAAACAAAAAATAAATTAAAAAAAAGAAAGAGGACAAAGGCAGAAACAGAGAAATCACTCCAGAGGATTTGTAGTAATATAGGCAGGAGATAGTGATGGCTTGGACCAGGGTAGCTATGGAGGAAGTGTGGAGAAGTGGTCAGATTCTGGGTATATTTTGGAAGTAGAATGAACAGGGTTTCCTGACAGACTGGGTGTGAAAGAAAGGAAGGAGTCCAGGGCGGCTCCAAGGTTTTTGCCCTGAGCAGCTAGAAGCATATGGAGTTGCCACTTACTGTGGGGCAGGGGGCGGTGGCGGCGGGGGAAGACTGAGGGAGGGGCAGGGGTTTTTGTTTTGGAGGGAGGGATTAGCAGTTCCATTTTAGACATGTTACATTTGAGGTGCTTCTTAGGACATTCAACTGGACCTCTTTTCTTTATTTCTCTCTCTCTTTCTTTTCTTTCTTTCTTTCTTTCTTTCTTTCTTTCTTTCTTTCTCTCTTTCTTTTTCTTTCTTTCTCTCTCTCTTTCTTTTTTTTTTTTGACGGAGTTTTGCTCTTGTCACCGAGGCTGGAGGGCAATGGCATGGTCTCAGCTCACTGCAACCTCCACCTCCCGGGTTCAAGTGATTCTCCTGCCTCAGCCTCCCGAGTAGCTGGGATTATGGGGCATGCCACCAGGCCCAGCTAATTTTGTGTTTTTGGTAGAGACGGGGGTTTCACGATGTTGCCCAGGCTGGTCTCGAACTCCTGACCTCAGGTGATCTGCCCACCTCAGCCTCCCAAAGTGCTGGGATTACAGGTGTGAGCCACTGCGCCCGGCCTCGGACCTGTTTTCTAAGACAGGTTCTTGCTCTGTCACCCAGGCTGGAGTGCACTGGTGCGATCTCAGCTCACCGCATCCTGGACCTTCTGGGCTCAAGTGGATCCTCCCACCTCAGCCTTCTGAGTAGCTGGGACTACAGGTGTGAGCCACCGTGCCCAGCTAATTTCTGTATTTTTTTGTAGAGACGGGGTTTCACTATGTTACCCAGGCTGCTCTGGAACTACTGGGCTTGAGTGATCCGCCTGCCTCGGCCTCCCAAAGTGCTGGGATTACAGGCGTGAGCCACTGTGCCTGGCCTCAACTGGACATATTAAGAGGCAATTGGGCCGGGTGCCCAATGCAAACATGGTGAAACCCCATCTCTACTAAAAATATAGAAATTAGCCGAGGGTGACGGTGGGTGCCTGCAGTCCCAGTTCCTTAGGAAGCTGAGGCATGAGAATCACTTGGACCTGGGAGGTGGAGGTTGCAGTGAGCCAGGATCGCGCCACTGCACGCCAGCCTGGGCGACAGAGCGAGAGACTCCATCTCAAAAAAAAAAAAAAAAAAAAGCAATTGGATATGTATGTGTCTGGAGTTCAGGAGAGAGGTCCAGGCTGGTTATTTAAAGCCATGAGACCAAATGAGATCACCAAGGGCATGAGCATAGACCTGAAGCTCGAGCTTGGACGCATTCCACATGTCAGTCAAGGCTGTGAATGCGCAGTGCTACCGTGGTGAGGTCAAGGGTGGGACCAACAATTCACTGTATCGTGTTGTATCAAATGACTTTTATATTTTTATTTGGGAGACACTAAAAAAACAAAAACAAAAGCATAAAAGTACAGAGAAGAAAATAACCGTTATTCACGTTTTCATCTACAAGAATAAATAATTCTTCACATTTTGGCCTTTTTGCTTCTATATTTGTTATTTAATTAGGTAACCGTCATTCCGTACACGTGTCTCTCTATACATTCACAGGCTTATGGTTAGGTAAAAATAGTTTTATTAAACTGGGGTTATATAGTAGTGCAATTTTTAAAAACAGATTTATTGAGATACAATTCATGTATCAGGCCAGGCACAGTGACTCACGCCTGTAATCCCAGCACTTTGGGAGGCCGAGGTGGGCGGATCACTTGAGGTCAGGAGTTCGAGACCAGCCTGGCCAACATGGTGAAACCCCGTCTCTACTAAAAATACAAAAATTAACTAAGTGTGGTGGTGGGCGCCTGTAATCCCAGCTACTTGGGAGGCTGAGGCTGAGAATCGATTGAACTCAGGAGGCAGAGGTTGCAGTGAGCCGAGATCACGCCACTGCACTCCAGCCTGGGCAACAGAGCAAGACCCTGTCTTAAAATAATATTAGTAATAATTAATATATTGGACAGTTCACCCAATAAAGTGTATAATTCACTGGTTTTTCGTACATTCACAGAGTTCTACAACCATCACCACATCAGTTTTAGAACATTTTGCTCACCCCAAAAAGAAATTTCATGCCTATTAGCAGTCACCCCCATTTCCCTTCAATCTATCTCTCTGCTCCCCAGCCCGGGCCCTAGGCAGCTGCTAAATCTACTTTCTGTCTTTATAGATTTGTCTGTTCTGGATAATTCATATAAATAGAATCATATAATATGTTTAATTTATATGAATCCACTTGAATAAACGTAAAATCAAAGGAATTAAGTTCGAATTAGTTGTAAAACTGTGGACTTATTGATGAATACTAGCTATGAAAGAGGACACCAGCCTTCTTATACCTCCTCTCTCCCTTCTCTCCCCAACCTCCTGATTTTTGTTATATTAATATCTTTACTTTTCCAGATGTAGAGCATTCACAGTCTGTTCTTTTTCTTTTTTTTGTGAGACACAGTTTCGCTCTTGTTGCCCAGGCTGGAGTGGGATGGCACGAACTCGGATCACCACAACCTCTGCCTCCCGGGTTCAAACAATTCTCCTGCCTCAGCCTTCTGAGTAGCTGGGATTATAGGCATGCGACACCACGCCCAGCTAATTTTGTATTTTTAGTAGAGATAGGGTTTCTCTATGTTGGTCAGGCTGGTTGTGAACCCCCAACCTCAGGTGATCCACCCGCCTCGGCCTCCCAAAGTGCTGGGATTACAGGCGTGAGCCACTGTGCCTGGCCACAGTCTGCTCTTTAAGCATCATCCTTGTAGTGGCTTGACAACAGTTTCACATTTAAGTAGATTCAATGTTTGTTATCAGTCTGTTTACACAGATTCTTTATTCCTGAGTTTTTATTTTGCTTCAACTCCTAACTGGGTAGATTTTATGATTAAGGAGTTTTTATCTACCCCTTGTCCCCCAAAAGGCTAGAGAGTTTATTTTCTTTTGGTTCATTTATTCGTGAGATTGTCTTTTCTTTGATATTTATTTATTTATTTTGAGACAGGGTCTTACTCTGTCACTCAGGCTGGAGTGCAGTGGTGCAATCATGGCTGTCTGCAGCCTTGACCTCCTGGGCTCAAGTGATCCTCCCACCTCAGCCTCCCAAGTAGCTGAGACCACAGGCATGCACCACCACACCCAGCTAATTTTTGTATTTTTTGTAAAGGCAGGGTTTCACCATGTTTCCCAGGCTGGTCTCAAACTCCTCGGCTCAAGTGATCCACCCTCCTCGGCCTCCCAAAGTGCTGGGATTACAGGCATGTACCACTGTGCCCGGTCTGAATTAATATTCTCACTGCATTGTTTTATAGCTTGAAGCCAATATAAGGAATTTCCTTCTGCTCCTTCTCTTATCACCTATCTTTTAGGTTGGATTTTTTGTTTTTTTTTGAGACAGAGTCTCACTCTGTCGCCCAAGCTGGAGTGCAGTGGCACAATCTCAGCTCTCTGCAACCTCCACCTCCTGGGTTCAAGCGATCCTCCTGCCTTAGCCTCCCGAGTAGCTGGGACTACAGGCGTGCTCCACGACGCCAGCCAATTTTTGTATTTTTTAGTAGAGATGGGGTTTTACCATGTTGACCAGGCTGGTCTCGAACTCCTGACCTCAAGTGATCCACCCGTCTCAGCCTCCCAAAGTGTTGGGATTACAGGCGTGAGCCACTGCGCCTGGCCAAGTTGGATTTTTTTCTCCTTGTCTCCCTCCCTTCCTTCCTTCTTTCCTTTTCCACAATATGTATCCATAGTTTACATGCAGAATACTTTCCTCTGAGCTGGGTGTAGGCAGCTCTGCTCAGAAACCGAATTTGCTTTGATGTAATGTGGATGACTCTTTGTCTTTGACTCTCCCTGCCTTCTCTGTGACCATTCCATTGTCCAAAGGGGATGCAGTTTGAGTTGAGCTTGGGCTCCGCAGACTTTTCTGTTGCCGGAGGGAAATGCAGGGCTCAGGCAAATGAGGAGTCTGTGAAAACACCTGGGCTCTGCTCTGTCTTCTGGGATTCAGGTAAATGCTCTACAACATGGTTCATTCTACTTAATTACTGGATGCATTCCCTTCTGAGATGGGGGTTGCCCTCAGGCCTTGAGTGGAGTCCGTGATTGGAGCCATTGTTGGCTTTCTCTGTTTTTCCTCTCCCCAGCAGCTTTCCCTGCTGGCTCTCAGTTAGGGACTACTACTCAGTTAATTTCTCTCCAGATATGGGGGTTTTAGTGAATGGCTTTGGGGAGGGGAAGCCGAGAAGGGTATTACTCTCTTCTACAGAATTGTCTGCTCTTTTGCTTGGCAGCCTTTTTTTTTTTTTTTTTTTTTTTTTTTTTTTTTGAGGATTTTGCTGTCACCCAGGCTGGAGTGCAGTGCAGTGGTGTGATCATGGCTCACTGCAGCCTCAACCTCCCAGGCTTAAGGGATCCTCCCCCTTCAGCCTCTGGAATAGCTGGGATCACAGGTGCATGCCACCATGCCTGGCTAATTTTAAAATTATCTGTAGAGATAGAGGCTCACTATGTTGTCCAGGCTGGTCTTGAACTCCTGGGCTCAAGCAATCCTCCTGCCTCAGCCTCCCAAAGTGTTGGGATTATAGGTGTGAGCCACTGCGCCTGGCTGCCAGTATTGAATGTTTATTTCACTAGGTTTTCTTCTTTTCTTTGGTTAAAAAATCACTTTTTTCTGGCTTACTGTTTTTTGCTTCTGTGTGGGAACTCAAGTCTGTGACGCAACTTTCAATCCTCCATCTTTGCACAGGAGTTGACCCAGCTGATCTTGAAGGCTGCTCCTTGCCCAAACTTCATCATAGCTCTGAGTTCCCTCCTTGCCCAAGGAGAGATGTGGCCACCACTGCACAGAGCAGAGCCAGCATGGCTGTCACTGAGGCCTTTAGATCCAGGAGAGGACACTGCTCTTCCCAGTCTTTTTTTTTTTTTTTTTTTAAAGAGAGAGAGTCTCACTCTTTTGCCCAGGCCAGAGTGCAGGTGCGATCTGTCAACCTCCACCTCCCGGGCACAAGTGATTCTTGTGCTTTAGCCACCCGAGTAGCTGGGATTACAGGCACCCGCCGCCACACCTGGCTAATTTTTGTATTTTTAGTAGAGAAGGGGTTTTACCATGTTGGCCAGGCTGGTCTCGAACTCCTGGCCTCAAGTGATCTGCCTGCCTCGGCTTCCCAAAGTGCTGGGATTACAGGTGGGAGCCACTGTGCCCAGCCCCTTCCCAGTCTTGAAGACTCCTGAGTGAGGACCTGGGATGGAGGCCTGATAACTGCCCATCTGGTGTCCACAGGGGAGCTTGCAGGGTGGTTGGCAGAGATCAGCCAGGACGTGGTCCACCATAGCTGTCATCAAGGGTCAGCCCAGGATGCAGGGGATGGCTGTGGGATCTGCTCTGTGGCCCCTGGAGTGGTGCGGAAACCTGGGCTATGTGAGCTCCCCAACTCTGGGAAGCGTTCCTACCACTTCCCAGACTTGGCCCTTAGAGAGCCTCTTGGATAAGCCCTTTCTACCTGGCTTTCTGGGCTGGACAAACCAGGCCCCACCAGGGGCTGTCTGAGAGGGGCTGAGACAGGCCCACTCGTCCTTCCTCTGAGGGCCCCACCTCTCTGCCAAGATATAACAGGTGTCTGTTGGCTGGCAGCACGGCCCACCAGAAGAGCTCACAATCTCAGCCGAATTGTCTGGGAGGACGCAAAGGTTTTGCTCCCTTCACTGCCTCAGTCCCCACCTGCCTGCCCACTGGCTTGTTGGGCTGCTGCCGGCCCCTGGAAACCAGGCGGTGCCCTCGTGCCCCAATGCCAGTCCTTGCAATTACAGGTTGGCAAGTCCAGGGACAAAGCGTGCCAGACGGTGCAGCAGCTTGCTGGCGGCTGGTCTGTGTCCTGGGGCCTGTGTCCTGACTGGCTCAGGCAAAGAGATCGTCCGTGAGGGAGGAGGTTTGGGTCTCAGCTCTGCCCCAGGGACAGCGAGCCCCCAGGGGATACTGGCCTTCTCCCTTCTCGGTGGGCCCAGAATCCATTCTTTGCAGTTCAGAGTCAGTTACCGCCCAGTTGGAAGACTGAGCTGAACCAAGATTGAAGGCACCGCCCCCGCCACCCCACAGGGGCTGACCCTTTCCTCCTGCTTCCTCCTCCTGCTGACCTGTGCGTGCAGGTGGACGAGAGGAGAGGTGTGCGTGTACGCACATCCACTCTTGTGCATGGATGTGCACAGGAGTGAGACACAAGCATGTTTGTGTATGTGTGTGTGTGTGAGAGCATAATTACTGTGTTTATGATGAGACCGCAGGTATGCGTGGGTACATGCCAGGCTGTTTTTCGGCAAGTCCACCCCAACGAGCCTGTGCCAGGGTTTATAGTCATCATCTTTCTGGTGCCCTCGCCACACATGTTTTGGTATTTTGAATGGCTCCCCGCATATGTACGTAGTTGTGGCGTGTGAGTTCTTCGTGTGTGTCTCAGATTGTGGGTGTCCGTGTGTGGGTCCATGTGTGTGAGTGTGCTTGTGTGTTGGTCTCACGTGCACTTGTGAGAGGCCTCGGCTGTGCGTGTGTCTGGGCATGTTGGCGCGGCCGCATGTGTGACAGTGTGAGCATGGATACTTCTGTGTGTGGGTCTCTGTGGCCGGGGATGACTAAAGCCAGGGACATTTATCATCACTTTCCTAGCTCGAGGGGGAAATTCTCTTGGTCTGGAATGGCAGAGGCCAGGGGCTGAGGGGCTCCATGTTTCTCAGGCTCCAGGCAGTGTTCCCAGGCCCTATCTCCCAGAGGGATCTAAGTCAGGGTGCAGGGAGGCCACACAGACTCTGAGGAGACAGGGGCAGAGTCAGATTTCTGTTTCGGAAGTCCCCTCTGGGGCTGGTGTCTGGAGGGATGGTGGGGCCTGGGAAACTGGGGAGGAGATGGCCGGGGAGGCCTGGAGTGCACTGGCCAGCGGCCATGGGCAGGAGGAAGAGGCAGATTCGAGGAACGTGCGGATGCAAAACGGACAGAAATCAGTGATGAGGGGAGTGAGGGTGAGGAAGGCATGTAGGGACCCCCCAACCCCAGCGTCTGGCCTGGGTGATGGGGAGCAGGTGCTATTCCTGAGCCAGAGGGGATCAGCTCCGGCAGCTTGCTGGTGACCAGTCCGCGCCTGGGGCCTGTCTCCTGGCTGGCTCAGCCACACTGGGCAGGAACAGAGATGTTTGGGGACAGGGGAGAGAATGAGTTTAGGCAGCTGTTCAGTGTGAGGTGCCTGTGGCCGTCCAGGAAGGACCTGGGACTGCAGAGCTGAGATGCTCCTGTAGGAGCAGCTTCGAACAGTCAGCTGAATTCTACAAACCAGGGCCCTTTTTGTGTGTTTTCTTTGCTTTTGAGTTGTGGAGCCCGGGTTTGAACTGCTCATGGAAGCCACTGAACGCTAGGACCCAGCATGCACTGGCCTGTGAGGAGCCCCAGTGCAAAGCGGGGTTACCATCTTAACAAGCAGGGGCTGCTGGTGCTGAAGGGCCCTGGTGGAGCATCTGGGGCACCCTGGCGTCGTACCGTTGGGGAAACCAAGGCCCAGAGGCGGGGACCACCCCAGGCCCGCTCAGCAAGGCAGGGTGGGGCTGCGCCCGTCCACCCCAGGAGGTCACACCCCTTGGCTGTGGAGCCCCTCCTGGAGCTGAGTCAGCCCTGGTGGCCGCTGCCCCGGGAGACTGTAATTACAGGATTAGAAGGTGGCCTCTCCGCAGCTGAGCCCTTTGCCCCTCAAAGCTGCCAAGTGGAGACGAGGATTTGTTGGTGCGGTGCCGGCCTCCAGGTGTGTCTGAGGAGACCTGGCATCGTCGGGCGGCTTCTTCAGCCTGAAAGGCCCCATTGTAGCTGCAGCCTCCCTCTGATGGGCTCTATTTTGGGGCCGGGATCCACCCTGTCCCAGCTGGAGGAAGGAAAGGGTGTATTTCAGCATGTCCTATGGGTGTGGGGTGGCCGGGGAGAGCAAAACGGGGAGCTGGTTGGGGGACAGCGTGCCTGGGCTGCACAGAGGTCACAGAGGCAGACGCTGGCAATGTGAAGGGGGGAGAGGCCTGGAGGGCCAGGTGCAGGTGCCCGGAAGAAGTCAGAGGGAGATGGGTGTGAGTCGGGCTGGGCTTTCATGTGGCCCCAGGAGGCAGCTGGCAGACCCTGCTAGGCTGGAATGTGGATCCGCAGCTGCCCGGGCCCCGCCTGAGACCTGCCTGCCAGCGACTTCCTGATTCCTGCCCCTGTGGGTGCCCGGCCCCATGTCCTAGGCCTGAGGGAGACCCACCTGCCCTCAGGGGCCTCTCAGTTTGGGTGCCAGGGACCAGGCACTGCAGTCCCAGGGGCTGGGTTAGGCCAGGAGAGCGCATGGCTGCTGGGACTCCTTGGCTGGTTCTGCTCTCCCTCCACCAGAGCTGGGCCGCGTTCCTGTCCCGCCCGGCATGGTGGCCACATCCCAGCTCCTTGCCTCCGCTCCCGTGGGTCCCCGGCTGGCGTGGTCTTGTGGCTGTCCTGGGCCCGTCCTGATCCTGACTGTCCTTCAGGGCTCTCCCTGGCGCCACCTCTGTCCAGGGGCCCCCTGCCCATCTCGGGGTGTCCTCTGATTCCCCAGTGCTAGCCTCACCAGGTACTGTGGATGCTGGGAACCCCCACTCCCCTCTTCCCCCCGTGGCCTCTTCAACCTCACCATGCACAGGCCATCACGGCGTGGGGGGTGGGGGGCGCTCACCAGGACGTGGCTTGATGCATGCCCTCTGGCCTGAGTTTGTCTGTGAAATGGGTGTAATGACGTCTGCCTTACAGGGCACCTGACCTGAGGGGTTAGACAGGGTCACAAGAGAGGACAGGGCTGGTGCGTGGCAGGTGTTTGGGTGGCAGTCCTTCAGGTCCTCCATCCTGGGTGCTCCCTGGCCACTGATCATCAGGTCTCTGGGTGCCTGAGCCTGGGCTACCCTGGGGACAGCCCCGTGATCCAGGAATGACTAATTCCACCCCTGCAATAAGCTCTTGGAAGCTTTGAGAAATGAGACTCTTTTTTTCTCTCTTTCTTCTTGCTGCTTCATTAAACTCTTCTTGAGTGAGGGGAATGAGGATTGTCCTAATCCCTTGGCACGAGGTGAAGGCAGGGGGCGTGTTCTGGGCTTGTAACCAGAGGACACTGGGAGCAGGGCTGGGGGTGGGCACTGGGCAGGGGCCGGAAGCCTCACATTCCAAGCAGGCTTTACCCAGGGGCAGCTGGTGACCCCAGACAAGCCCCGTCCTCGACCAGGCTCGGTTTGACTGTCCGCATGATGGGTGTACCAGGCCTCGCCCACCTCCCTGTGCTGCTCCAAGGGAAGGGGATGGCCCGGAGGGTCCTTTGGTGGGGTGCCTGGGGCTGGGCACGCTGGCTGGCACACGGTAGGTGCCTTATCAGTGTATACGGACTTTTGGGGAAAACAGAGGAGGGGTGGACAGCCTCCGAGTTGTCTTTTACTCTTTGTCCTCTAAAGTCTGTTTTTTTTTCACTTTTCCTTTTTTTTTTTTTTTTTTTGAGGCGGAGTCTCACTCTGTCACCCAGGCTGGAGTGCAGTGGTGTGATCTCGGCTCCCTGCAACCTCTGCCTCTTGGGTTCAAGCTATTCTCCTGCCTCAGCCTCCTGAGTAGCTGGAACTACAGGTGTGAGCCACCACACCCTGCTAATTTTTGTATTTTTAGTAGAGATGGGGTTTTACCATGTTGGCCAGGCTGGTCTTGAACTCCTGACCTCAAGTGATCCGCCCACCTCAGCCTCCCAAAGTGCTGGAATTACAGGCTTGAGCCACCGTGCCTGGCTTAAAGTCTGTTTTCTTACCTTTAAAAGTGGCCTGGGAGGAGGCCTAGCTGCTTCCTCCTGGGCCCCAGCGAGGGACTCCAGGGGCTGGACACTCGCTTATGGGTCCTGGCTCTGTCTACCTACCGTCAAGGCTGCTGGAACTGGAAAAATAGTTCTAGGCCTTCCTCGCTCACTCCAATAAGTCTCAATAATGCCTTTCTCTGTAGCGTCCCAGTCTCTCCTCTCCACAGGTGGGAAGCAACAGGTGGGGTTGGTGACTGGGATCTGGGAATCCTCACCCAGGCCACCCTCTGTCCACAGGTGTTCCTGGGCCTTGGGGAGCTGCTTCTGTCCTGCAACTGGGCAGTGGTTGCCGACATCCTGCTGGTAGGTGTGGGAGTCGGGGTGGTGGGCTGAGCAGGGGGAGCTGGAGAGGATTGGGCCTCTGCTGCTGAGCAGCTGGGCACTGGCGGCGACATCAGAGACCATACATTAGGGGACCAAAGCCATTCACGGTTATCTTGGACCAGAGGCCTCTCTGACACTCTCAAACATCTCTGACCATCATCCCGATTTTGCAGATGAACAAATGGAGGTTCAGAGAAGGCAGGTGCCTGTTCCAAAGTCACACAGCCCCAACGCAGGGAGCCAGGACCGGAACCTAGGCATTTTGACTCCCTGGGCTACTTCCCTCCCTCTTTTCTTTTTTGAGACAGAGTTTCACTCTTGTTGCCCAGGCTGGAGTGCAATGGCCTGATCTTGGCTCACTGCAACGTCTGCCTCCTGGGTTCAACTGATTCTTCTGCCTCAGCCTCCCAAGTAGCAGAGACTACAGGCACCCGCCACCATGCCCGGCTAATTTTGTATTTTTAGTAGAGACAGGGTTTCACCATATTGGCGAGGCTGGTCTTGAACCCTGACCTCAGGTGATCTGCCCGCTTCGGCCTCCCAAAGTGCTGGGATTACAGGCGTGAGCCACCGTGCCTGGCCCCTCCCTCCTTCTTTCTGTAGCATACTGCTTCTCAGCAAGCAGGTTCCTTGGCCTCTACTCTGGGGCGTGCAGACGGGATGCCATCCTTCAGGGCAGTAGCCACTGAGGCCCATTGTGCCAGCCCACACCAGCTCGTGTGTCACAGGCTGCCATGCAAGGATCAGCCCTGCCTGTAAGAGGCCTGACACTGTCTTGACCACATGGCTGCTGGTCCAGAGTCCCACACGGCCCCTCCCTGAGCCCCATGCTCTTCGTCCAGCCTCCTTGCCTCCTTCTGGGAGGCATACAGGGAAGGACTTTGAACACATGAAGGGCTGTGCCTTTGTAGATAACGCAGGGCCCTGGGCCTGTGAGCACCCTGAGAGCCTTCCTTCTGCCTCCTGGCAGCCTGGCACAGTCTGGTGCTGGCCACAAGGGAAATGGACCAGACTGGCAGTCAGCTGAGAGCTGTCCTGAGGGCATTCAATGCCGCGGCACCAGCCTGGATTCAGAAAACAGACCTGGCTGTCAGCCCTGGTCCTGCCACTTATGGGCTGTGTGGCCTTAGGCAAGTCACTGTGTGTCTCTGAGCCTCAGTATCCGGATGTGGAAAGTGGGGATGATAATGGCACCTGCCTTATGGATTGATGTGAGGGTGAAATGAGAAGATCCATCTGCCTGGCACAGAGAATGCTGGCTAGGATTCTCACAGCAATCCGGAATTTTCCATTTTCTCATTTTCTATCCCCCAAAGAAATCATGGTGCCCTAGAATCTGGGTTTGAAAGGGTTATGGGCATGTATAGTCGTTGAATCTGTCAACAAACCCTGCTTGAATACTACTGTGGATGGGGTGCTCACTCCCTGCCAAGATGTCTGCCCCTCCCCGGCAGATCCCCTGACCCCTCCCCACGGCCCAGGCCCAGCGAGTGTGGAGAGGCCTGCCCTGTCTTTGGCTCCTGGGTGAGTGGATCAGCTGCAGGACTGGCAGGTCTTCCCTGCCCCTCCCTCCAGACAGGAGACTTGGGCTCCAGCCCAGAGTCAGCCGCAGACCTGCTACATGGCCCTGGGCCTCAGTTTCCTTGTCTATAAAAGGGGTAATCACCACCTGCCCGGTAGGGTGAGCAAGGCGGCCTCCAGGAATGCTCAGGAAAGGGGAAGGCATTGGCAAATGTTTTATTCATGGGATTGTCCACTTTTAGGCTCAGGGAGATTAACATCCCCCCAGCATAGCTGGTTCTCTCTGAGGTGGTCCAAACAGAGCTGCACCTGCCCCCACAGCTTCCCTGGCCTGCCCCCCACGGCGCAGCTCCCTCTTCCACATGACAGCCCCACAGATATGTGAAGGCTGCACCCGTGTCCCCCAGCGTCTGCATTTGTAAGAATGATTAACCTGGCAGAGCCAGGCTCTTTGTGGGGTTAAAGAGGAGAGTGTGTGCTGGAGAGGGCGGGTGGGGGAAGGGTGGAAGGAGGGTTAGGGGCTGGCCAGCTGCACAGTTTTACCCATTTGGGGAGCTGCCCAGGGAGCCGGCTGGACAGGAACCAGCCCACCTCAGGGCTCCCTGTGGCCCTTCCTTGGCTTGGAGGCCTCCAGCCACAATGCTTTGCACCACCATCCCAGAGCCTCCCGCCCCCTTCCCTGCCTTCCCACCTGCCCGGAGCCCCGTGGCCAAAGATGCCTTTTGGCCTTCGGGGATCAGAGCTGAGCAATCCTTGTAGCCCCTATAGTTCGGTTCCTCCATGTTGCTGCTTCCTCCCTGTAAAGGCAGGTGGTGGGGGAGCCGTTCTGTGCAGTGGAGGGGCAGATGCCAGCTTGGAGCAGGGTGAGGAGGGTGAGGGAGGGGAAGCAGGACACCGAGGGTAGACAATTCCCTTGAGGAGCTGAGCTGACAGGAGCAAAGGGCATGGTAGCTGGAGTTGGCAGAAGATCCCAGGAAGCTGGCATTGCTTTTCAAGAGGGGAGGACAGAACAGCCTCCAGGGAGCAGAGAGGGGCAAGCAGGAGGAGAGAGGGGGCCATGTTTGAGGGTGAGCTGGGGGTGGAATCCAGCACTGGGGGAGGAAGTGGCCTCCCAGCAGAGCAGGGGCAGGAAGTGTGTGGGGACAGGGTCTGTGGCAGGAAGTAGAGGAAGGTCCCCTTTGCCGGCCGGCACTGGCTCCTGAGACAGGAGATCGGCTTCTCTTTCAGCAGGGGCCCAGGGAGGGAGGAGGCCTTAGGGTGTGTGTGAACAGGGTCCACAGAACAAGGGAGCAGGAAGCTAAGGGCAGGGCACGTTCACGTGAACAGCTTTGGGCGGCCAAGAAAGCCACGAGGAGCTGATAGGAAAATGGGTGGAAACTGCAGGTGTCTGGGTGGTTGGAGCCTGTGGGTTAGGTCAGAGGGCAGAGGGCAGCAGAGCCCAGGCTCGAGGACTCTGCAGCAGCCCATCTGCTCCCACTCCCAGCCTGGCTCCTCACTAGCTGTGTGACCCTGGCCAAGTGACTGAACCTCTCTGGGTCTTGGTTTGCTCACCTGTCCAGTAGGTAGAGCGGTGGCAACCACCATTGACACCCCAGGCTATAAGGATAGAATGAACTCACACCTGCGTCCTGCAGATTCCTGAGTGGGCGTGTGGGCCCCACTGACTTCCAGATCATCCCTTCCTTGGGACACTGCTCTCTCTCTCTCTTTTTTTTTTTTTTTACTTTTGAGACGGAGTCTCGCACTGTCGCCAGGCTGGAGTGCAGTGGTGCGATCTCAGCTCACTGCGACCTCTGCCTCCTGGGTTCAAGCGATTCTCCTGCCTCAGCCTCCTGAATAGCTGGGACTACAGGCATGCGCCACCACGCCCAGCTAATTTTTGTATTTTTAGTAGAGACGGGGTTCACCATGTTGGCCAGGATGGTCTCGATCTCTTGACCTCATGATCCGCCCCCCTTGGCCTCCCAGAATGCTGGGATTATAGGTGTGAGCCACTGCGCCTGTCCAGGACACTGTTCTCTTTGATGCCATCTCCACAATGGGGAGAATCCAGGTTATCTCTGGAGAAGGGACCTCAGGGGCTCTCCGGTCCGGTGGCTTGGAGACGTCATTGTGCATGAGAGTCAGATTTGAGGGAGCTTGTGACAAACCCAGATTCCAGGCCCTGTGTCCTCTGAGTCTGATTCAGTGGGTCCGTGCTGGGGTCCAGGGACCTGCATTTCTGATGAACTTCCCAAGTGATCCTGCCGTAGCATTCCGTAGAGCACGCTTTGAGAACACTGGTCTCACGCCGCAAGCTCCCCAGTCCATAAATGCTTTGCCAAATTCTAGCCATCCCCTTGTTGACATACGCCTCCAATGGGGAGCTCGTTCTGCATACCTCGGGCAGCCCCTGCCTCTCGGGGGGTTTCTGTTGATGAAAATGATTTGGTTCAGTCACAGCCAAGACCCACCTCTGCCAGCCTCCCCTTGGCCCCGCTGGGCCATAGAGGGGCCCTGCTCCCTGGAGACTGAGATCGTGTCCCCTGAACCCGCATCTCCCCAGGCAGAGCTCCCTGCCTCCCGAAACCTAGTCATGAGGTCTTCAGCTCCCTCCCAGCCCTGCTGTCTGTCCCCGCCCCACTCAGGATGGCCCAGAGCCAGCTCACCCCAATCCCCCTCCAGGCAGGGGACAGTGTAAGCAAAGGTGTGGAGGGAGGATCCCAGGGGCACGATCTCTGGATCCCAACCAGTTGGGGGGCTAGAGCAGAAGGGGAGCTCATTCCCTCTTTCTCAGCCCTGTCCTCTGGGGTCCTGGAATCCAGCCACAGGCTCATCTCCCACCCCTCAGCAGACGTCCCCACAGTTCCCCGGAGAGTTGTCACCTCTGCGTTCTCCCCCTGCCCCAGGTCTCCATGCTTCCCTGCTCAGCCTCTGCCCCCCAGGTAGCTGTCTGCTCACTGGCCTGTCTCACCCTCTCAGGGGCGTCTGGGGGCGAGGCCTGGGTGGGGGTGCAGGAGGCAGGCTGCCTGGTGGCTGCTGCTCCGACTTGCTGCAAGCCCTTGGGTGGCCCTGGTTTCGCCCTCGGCTATAAAGGGAACGGCCCTTCTAAGAAGGGAGAGCCAGAAACAGAGGTGTTTTTGTCTCAGAATAGAGTGAGCCTGGATTTTTGGGAACCCAAAGCCTCTTATTTCTGAAATTACCCCCTGGGCTCTCCAGCTTCTGTGGGCCCAGCCTTGGCTGCTGGCTGCACGGAGACAATGAGGACTTGGAACAGGCTGGGGGAGACCCACCTCTCTCGCCACTGGCAGCAGTGACTGAGCTGGGCCCAGCAGGTTGGGGTTCCTGGGAGAGGAGGAAGGGGCCAGCCTACCTGGACCTAACTGTGGGGGTCCCAGCAGCCCCAGCCTCCATGTGGACCTTTCTGAACATTCAGGTTCCTCCCTCCAGGAAGCCTCACCTGCCTTCCCAGAGCCACCAGTGAGTAATCACATAATTATGGGGTGAGAAGGAAGTCCTTGGGGAAGGTGCAAAGCTGTTGGTCAGTTCCTTCTCAGGCCTGTTGACAGATCCTGGTGATGGCAAGAGGCCCGGTTTCTCTTGCCACCTGTACATGGTGGCTCAGTCCCAGTGACCCTGGGACCAGCGAGTCACTACAGTGCCTCCTGCCACTCTGCCCTGCCCACCACCAAACCCCCTGCATCTGTCCCCTGGGATTCTGGAATCCAGAGATCGTGTCCCTGGGATCCTCCCTCCACACCGTCGCTTACACTGTCCCCTGCCTGGAATGCCTTTCCCCGTCTCTTTGCCAGTTACTCTGCCATCCGTTTACAGGGCTAGTGATGAACTTGTCCTCCTCATCTTTCTCAGATTTCTGAATGTTCTATTACAAATGCATAAATATTGCTAGAAACACCGGCTCCTCCTTGCCCATCACAGCAGAGTGGTCAAAAGGCCAGATCCTAGAGGGAGAAGGCCTGCAATCCTCTCTCAGCCCTGTTATTTCAGGCTGGGTGATGTTGGGCAAGTCACTTGCCCTCCCTGTGGAGGTTTTCCTCATCTGTAAAAATGCAGGTGATCATCATCTCCCTCTCATGGGTTGTTCAAGTTGATATATAAAATGTATACAGCAAGCATTCAATAAATGTTGGCAATTATTATTATTTTATTATTATTTTTTGAGACAGGATCTTGCTCTTTCACTCAGGCTGGAGTATAGTGGTGCCACCTCGGCTCACTAGAACCTCCACCTCCCGGGTTCAAGCGATTCTCCTGCCTCAGCCTCCTGAGTAGCTGGGATTATAGGCACGCGCCACCACACCCAGCTAATTTTTGTATTTTTAGTAGAGATGGGATTTCGCCATGTTGGCCAGGCTGGTCTTGAACTCCTGACCTCAAGTGATCCACCTGCCTCAGTCTCCCAAAGTGCTGGGATTACAGGTGTGAGCCACTGTGCCCAGCTAATATTGATTAACTCAAGGCCTCAGATCATGGACACCTAGGTCTTGGGGATACGGCTCCAGGGTGTAAGCGCCCCTGTGGCTGTCCAGTTGGGTTCATGTGACCATGTGGTCTCTGCTTGAGTCCCCTCCCCCTCCCTCCTTCCATCCCCTGCTGTAGCCCTGGGTTCTGGCAGACTTTCTCCTGGGAATAGTCTCCCAGATGGACCTACTTGAGTTATTTGGTTGGCAAACTTTCAGCTAGTCCCCTCTGTGCCTGGTGTCTTGCAGGGACCCCAAGAGAAATTAAGGGTCTTTGTTGCCCACACAACATAGGGAATAAGGGGTGGTGGACAGAGAAAGGGCCCCTCCCAGTTCTGGGAGACATGCGTTAATTAGGGGTGTGCATAGGAGTTGCGGGAGCTCAGGGCAGGTACCTGAACTCTGAGAGGGCTTCACAGAGGAGATGACCGAAACGTAAGTCCTAAATGACAAATATAGATGCTCCAGCTGGACCAGAGAGTGGAAGGCACGCCAGGCAGAAGGCGCAGCTGAGTTCAAGGGCCTGGAGCATCCTGTCTCAGAGCGTTATTTTGGTCTGATGTCCACACGAAGCCTCCAGGTAGCAGACGAATAACGATAATGAATAAAACTCTCAAGATCAGTACCATTATTACCCCCACTTGGGGATGGAGAGACTGAGGGAAGAAAGGTGAAACAGTTTGCTCAAAGTCACACAGCTAGCGAGTGGGGATCTGGATCGGAACCTGAGTGTGTGACACCAGAGTTCTTTATTTTTTTTATTTTTTTTTTTTTTGAGATGGGATTTTGCTCTTGTTGCCCAGGTTGGATTGCAGTGGTACGATCTCAGCTCACTGCAACCTCCGCCTCCCGTGTTCAAGCAATTCTCCTGCCTCAACCTCCCGAGTAGCTGGGATTACAGGCATGTGCCACCACGCCGGCTAGTTTTTGTATTTTTAGTAGAGACAGGGTTTCACCATGTTGCCAGGCTGGTCTTGACCTCCTGACCTCGGGTGATCCACCCGCCTTGGCCTCCCAAAGTGCTGGGATTACAGACGTGAGCCACCGCGCCTGGCCCAGAGTTCATCTTCTTTATGTTCTCAGCCTTGTCCGTGGAGTCGTGCGGGCTTCTCCAGCAAGGCCGCCTTTGGTCTCTGCCCCAGGGGCCTTGAGGTTCCTGAGAGGACTGAGCCCTCCGTACCACCCCTGCCCAATTGCCTGCACATGCAGACACCTGGCATGCACCCGCTCTTCGCCCTGCCCGCTTGTGCTGCTGCATCCTGGGCCCCTGAGCTGGGACACCCCAGCCTCATTCACTGTGGTCACATGCATGCCTGGTTCCTTCCCAGTTCAAGAGCAAACTCTCAAGAGGGGTGGCCCTGATCAGGGGCCTTGGCACCCCCATCCTGGGGCACTGGGGAAGCTTCAGATGGGCTTGATGTCTTGATGTTCTGGGGTGGGACTTTAGACCTTGGGGACCGTCGACTCCCTCCCATCCCACTCACCTGAATGGCCTGTCACTCCTCCAGGCAGGTCCTTGGCAGGTGGGGAACAGCAGGCAAGGGTGCCCTCACTTGGGGTGCCCCCCTGCTGTGCCTATGTTTTGCAGTCTGTGGTGGTGCCCAGATGCCGGGGGACGGCAGAGGCACTTCAGATCACGGTGGGCCACATCCTGGGAGACGCTGGCAGCCCCTATCTCACAGGACTTGTAAGACGTGTCTGCGTGTGTGGGGTGGGGAGGGTCTGGGGGCCAGGCTGGTGGGCCTGGCAGACTCATCCCTTCTCCTCCGCAGATCTCTAGTGTCCTGCGGGCCAGGCGCCCTGACTCCTATCTGCAGCGCTTCCGCAGCCTGCAGCAGAGCTTCCTGTGCTGCGCCTTTGTCATCGCCCTGGGGGGCGGCTGCTTCCTGCTGACTGCGCTGTACCTGGAGAGAGACGAGACCCGGGCCTGGCAGCCTGTCACAGGTACCCTACCCATTGCACCAGGCCCGGCTCAGGGCCGGCACCCTAGGGACAGACAGCACTGGCCACCCCCTGAATCCCTGGCCAGTTTGTTTGTTCATTCATCCAGAAATGCTTAGTACACCCCTGCTATGTACCAGGGAAGGTTGCAGATGCTGGGGAGTGAAAGAATGAGGCCAAGTCCAGGCCCCTGTAGAAACTGACACTGTAGTTGGTGAAGACAGACCAGAAACAGAAAAGGTTAAAGATATAGCATGTTCAGGGTGACGAGTGCTATGGAGAGGTATAAAGCAGGAAAGGAAGGAGAAAGGGGCCGGGCGCGGTGGCTCACACCTGTAATCCCAGTACTTGGGGAGGCCAAGGCGGGCGGATTACAAGGTTAGGAGTTCAAGACCAGCCTGGGCAACATGGTGAAGCCCTGTCTCTACTAAAAATATAAAAATTAGCCAGGTGCGGTGGCACACACCTGTAGTCCCAGCTACTCAGGAGGCTGAGGCAGGAGAATCACTTGAACCCGGGAGGCGGAGGCTATAGTGAGCTGAGATCTCGCCACTGCACTCCAGCCTGGGCGACAGCAAGACTGTCTCAAAAAAAAAAAAAAAAAAAAAAAAGGGACAGGTAGGTGCAGGCTGCAAGGATCCCCACTGCACAGGCGAAACTAGAGCAAAGATCTGGAGGAAACGAGGGAGTGAGCCGTTCAGCGACCTGGGGAAAGACGCTTCCGGCAGTGGGGACAATCAATGCAAAGGCCCTGCCATGGGAATGCACCTGATATGTTTGAGGATCAGCAAGGAGGCCAGTGTGGCTGCAGCAGAAGCAAGAGGGACAGTGGTAGGGGTGAGGGATACGGGGCCAGAGCAGGCAGTCCTTGTAAAGACAGTGGCTTTTGCTCAGAGTGAGACGGGAGCTGCTGTGGGGCTTCCAGGAGAGGAGCACCGAGGTGGTCTGATTGATGTTGCCAAAGCATCTCCCTGGCTGCTGTGTTGAGAACAGACTGTAGGAGGGTCAGTGTTGAGGCCGAGAGGCATAGCCGACTCCCCTTCCAGGGGAGAGTGGTGCCTAGACCACGCCAGTGGCATTGAAGGTGATGACAAGGGGTTGGATCTGGAATGTATTCTGCATTTGGGACAGAGAGGATTTCCTGACAGCCCGTGCCCAGGCCCAGGCCTGGTCCCAAAGCACCTTCTGCAACCTTCGGGCAGGCTGAGCATCTTTCCTCCTGCAGGGACCCCAGACAGCAATGATGTGGACAGCAACGACCTGGAGAGACAAGGCCTACTTTCGGGCGCTGGCGCCTCTACAGAGGAGCCCTGAGGTCCCTGCCTACACTCGTCCTGCCTGCAAGCCTCCCGTTGGTCCCCACAGCAGCAGTGCCTCGGTTCCTCTTTGGCTGTCCTCGGGGACTCCGGCTGAGGCACATCTGCCACTTTTGAATTCCCGGCTGGAGAGCTGGCAGGACCCTGTGGCTGGGCTGGGAATGGAGCTGTCAGCACTCTGCGTGGGAGGCCTGGGCCTGTGCCTGCATCCCGCTCAAGGCTGCCCCAGCCTGGGGTCTCCAGCCTGGCTGCTGCTGGGCCCTGAATAAAGAGAGGCCAGTACAAAGCCCATGGATTTTGGGCCTGTAGACAGCCGTGTTATTTATAGCCTCTCGTGCCTCTGCTGGAGGGGAAGTGGGTGAGGACGGGATGGGCAGTCCAGGCCAAGGATGCAGGGCTGTCCTGAAGTGGGGAAGCTGGGGGGCTGGCTCAGCATGGGTCTCTAGGGGTCCGCAGCCTGGACCTCCCACTCTGACCCAGCTTCTCCATTCTGCAAAGTCACAGGCACAGGACACCCTCTACGTGATTCCACTCTTTGTTTTGTTTTGTTTTTGAGATGGAGTTTAGCTCTTGTCCAGGCTGGAGTGCAGTGGCGCAATCTCGGCTCATTGCAACCTCCGCCTCCCAGGTTCAAGAGATTCTTCTGCCTCAGCCTCCTAAGTAGCTGGGATTACAGGCATGTGCCACCACGCCCAACTAATTTTTGTATTTTTAGTAGAGACAGGGTTTCACCATGTTGGCCAGGCTGGTCTTGACCTCCTGACCTTAGGTGATCCGCCAGCCTCGGCCTTCCGAAGTGCTGAGATTATAGGCATGAGCCACCGTGCCCAGCCAACTCCACCCTTTGAACAAAACGTGGGGGCTGAATCTTGCTCTTGGAGATGAGTTTCCACTTGGGTGCTGGGGTGGGGATGTGGCTCCAAGTTCCAGGGAACCACGCAGAGGAACCCACGCCTATACAGACACGGGCGCAGCGGCCCCAGAACCCTGCTGAGGACTTGAGTGGCCGTGCAGGGATCCTCCTGGCCTGCCCAGTTCTGTAGCCCCGGTCTTCCCTGGGTCCACGCTCTGACCCCAGCACAGCGTATGGGGAGGGCTGGCTCTGCGGGGCCCACGCTTGCCACTGGGTTCAGAGCAGCTGGGCTCAGCGGGCCCTGTGGGAGATCGACAGCTTCCAGGCGGGCAGCAGTGGGGAGGCTTGTTCTCATGTTCTTTCCGCCTCCCCTGGTGCCCAGCCAGGCGATCACTTGCTCACTCACCGATGGCCACCTTCGCTGTGCCAGGCTGTGCCTGTCTCCCAGCAGCTGCAGGCAGAGCAACGACCGAGACTCCTGCGCAGCCCCTGATGCTTGCTGCTCTGTCCCTGCCTTCTGTGGGGTGCCCCCCAGCCCTCCCTGTTGGCTGCAACAAGCCCCAGGAGCAGGGCCGCACCACAGCCAGCCCTCCCTGCAGGCTAGCCAGGCCCTTGACCGTGACTCAATGCTTGGAGCTTATGCAACAGGCAGCCCTTCAAGTTACAAGGTAAAAGATCTGTGAGGATATTTTGTTTTTCCTGAGAAGGAGGCAGCAACTGGGCAGGAGCCAGGATGCCACGGTCCCTCTCAACATTCACTGGCTGTGTGACCTAGGTGGCTCCCTGACTCCCTGGCTGTGTTTGAGAGGTGTGTTGACATGGCTTTCTAGCCTGGGCCTCATGTGATTAGCACAGGCTGGGTCTAGACCCACAGAAGCCCAGCTCCAGGGTCTGAACCTTCCTCCCAACAGCCCCAGGGAGGACCCCTGCAAGGCGAGGCTCCCGGAAAATGAGTGAGGGCCGCCCAAGGGTCAGAACACTCAGCTGGGCACAGCGGCTCACGCCTGTAATCCCAACACTTTGGGAGGCAGAGGCTGATGTATTGCTTGAGGTCAGGAGTTCAAGACCAGCCTGGGCAACATGGTGAAACCCCGTCTCTACCAAAAATACCAAAACATACCTGGGCGTGGTGGCACGCATCTGTGGTCCCAGCTCTGGGAGGCTGAGGTGGGAGGATCGCTTGATCCTGGGGATGGGGGGTGGAGTTCGTCGTGAAGGGAGATGGCACCACTGCACTCCAACCTGAGTGACACAGTGAGACTTTGTCTTAAAAAAAAAAAAAAAAAAGAACACCAGCTGCCACCTCCCCACCCAGAGTCCAGTAGAGGAAGAGCAAGAACCTCGTTCATGCCAACTCTACAAACATGCATTGGTATCGGCGGGTGCCCATCAGGGTGTCCAGCAGTGAATCAGACTCCAGCCCTGCCCTTGGACCTCGCAGCCCACAGCAGGACAGGCAAGTGTGGCACACCTATGGGCAGAGTAAGGGCTTCCGTGCCCCAGAAGCCTTCAAGGAAGTGGCTTTGGAGTTGGTAACAAGGTGGGGGGCAAAGGGAATTCTAGATGCAGGGGATGGACCCACAAAGAGGGGGAGAGTGGGGCAGAAGATTTGCAGTGAGTCATGGAGGGGTGTGGTATGGCCAGAGAGGAGGGTGCGTGTGTCATTGAGCGGGGAGAGGAGGTGAGAGAGGCCATCTGGGATCAGAGGGGCGTCAGATGTAGGTCCAGGAGCTGGGGCTTTAATCCTATAATCCAGGGTAGTTTCTTATGACTCAAGTGCATTCTGATATTTGGGTTGCTGGGCAGGGCAAGGCGGTACTTCCCAAGGCTGAGCCACACGAGGTGCCCAGCTGGGAGTTTATAGGAAGCTATTGTCTAAAGTGGTTTGGGGCAGAGTGGGAGCTCTGGGGCTGGTGGACGCGGCAAGTGACAGAGACCAATATCTCCTCTGCAGCCAACCCAGACTCCCACCTCCTGCCTCTTTGGGGCCAGTCCTGGTGGGTCGAGGTTACGATAACAGCCTGGGGGAACCCAGCCACTCAGGCTGGAGTGGAGTCTGGTAAACAGAACACATCTTCCTCGCCTAAAGGCCCTTGTTGGGTAATCTCAGCCACGAATACTCTGGACTTGTTTGTTGGGAATGTCAAGAGGAGGAAAAATGCTGTTCAGCAGGATGAGTCCTTAAGCCTGACCTGACTCTCTTTATGTGTTAATTGCTCTTTCCAGACATAAGCTGCATTCCAGCTGTCAGGTATTATCCAGGCATGGAGGTATCTCTGTGTGCGTGTGCCTGTACCTGTGTGTGCATCACCATGTTGGCGTGTGGCCACATGGGGGTATGCTAGCTATTGGAACCAATACCAACAGGTATTAGTAAAGCTTTTTTTTTTTTTTTGAGACGGAGTTTTGCTCTTGTTGCCCAGGTTGGAGTGCAATGGTGCAATCTCAGCTCACTGCAACCTCCGCCTCCCGGGTTCAAGCGATTCTCCTTCCTCGGCCTCCCAAGCAGTTGGGATTACAGGCATCCACCACGCCCGGCTAATTTTGTATTTTTAGTAAAGACGGGGTTTCTCCATGTTGGTCAGGCTGGTCTCAAGCTCCCGACCTCAGGGGATCTGCCTGCCTCGGCCTCCCAAAGTGCTGGGATTAAGGCTTGAGCCACCGCACCCAGCCTTAATTTTTCATATTTTTAGTAGAGACAGGGTTTTGCCATGTTGGCCAGGATGGTCTCGAACTCTTGAGCTCAGGCAATCCACCCGCCTCAGCCTCCCAAAGTACTACAATTACAGGTGTGAGCCAATGCGCCTGGCCTAAAAGCTCTTTTTCCACTTTGTCCTGAAGGTTGAGGGGGTTGAACCTGTGTGTCTGGATTCCCACACCCTAACCCTGGCTTGTTGCTCTGCAACATCAAATATTGGTCTGTTTCATTCCCTGAAGTGTTTGACTTTGCTTTGTGCCTGGGTGGGCTTGGGAGGTTGTTTAATCTAATGCAGCCTCTACAGACAAAGCTGGCAGCAGGCAGCTGGAGGTTCCGGGAGCCATGCTTTATCTCAGCACAGACAGGTGTGTGACTGCGTGTGCTCCTGTGTGACCATATCAGTTTGGGTTGTGGGGTTGTATGCAACGGAAACAGACTGACTACCTCTACCAGGCAAAGGATGCATTGAAAGCACATCAGGAACTCATAGAATTGATGAGAAGGTTGGAGATTCAGGAGCCAGGGTTCCTGGGCCATATTATTTTGGGGTCTGTGCCAGAACTCCAGATATTTTATCCCTATTCTTTTGCCACCCTCCTCAAGATTTAAAGCCCTGGGCAAGAGATTCCAGTTGGGTTAGCTTGGATCCTATACCCATGCCTTGGTTTATAGCCGCATTAAGACCAGCAGACCAGTGTGCCGTTAGGAAGAGGAAGGAAGTCTCAGCACCAAAACAAAACAGGAATTAAAACAAGATGACAGGCTGGGCGCGGTGGTTCATGCCTGTAATCCCAGCACTTTGGGATGCCAAGGTAGGTGGATCACCTGAGGTCAGGAGTTCAAGACCAGCCTGGCCAACATGGAGAAACCCCGTCTCTATTAAAAATACAAAAATTAGCTGGGCTTGGTGGTGCGCACCTGTAATCCCAGCTACTCAGGAGGGTGAAGCAGGAGAATCGCTTGAACTCAGGAGGCGGAGGTTGCAGTGAGCTGAAATCGTGCTCCAGCCCGGGCAACAAGAGTGAAACTCCTTCTTGGAAAAAAAAAAAAAAAGAAGAAGAAAGAAAACAAGATGACAGAAAACAAAAACAAAGGTAGCATCCACTACAATATCTCGGGCAGGCCACTGGCCATCTCTGAGGTGCAGCCTCTCCATGGGATGGGGAAGAGGCTGGACTCGATGCCCTTCGGTGGAGTCTTTATTTCTGATAGTCTGCATCCATGATGAAAAGAGACTGAAGCTTCTGTAATGTAGAAAGTGTTAAAAATGTTCAAATGGCAGAACAGGAACTTCTGTGTTAGTGGGGACTCAGAGCCATCTGTTCTGAGCAGGAGAGAGAGGCAGAGACGAAGCGTTCTGAGCAAAGATAGGCTCGGGCTGGGGGAGGGAACGGGGGCCCCAACCAGTCCTCAGCTTGGCAACAGCAAGAGCAGAGAGGAGGTGCCTTCTCCCCACCGTGGGTGGTGACCTGCGGGGAAGGCTAATCAAAGGGTGGAGGCAAACAGCAGGTGGAAGCTAATGGAGGGTGGAGTCAATCAGGAAGAAAATGCCTTTTCCAGAGGAACCAGGAGACGAATCTGGTTTCTGAGTCATTCAGAGCAACAGACGCGTGATGCAAATCAATGTACATTTCCTGAGCACCTGCTAAATGTCATTTACTCATTCAATCAACAAACATTCTTTGAGCACCTCCTCTGTACTGGCTCGTGGAGATGAATCAGAAAGGGTACGGGCCCTCGAGGCTCACGGTCTGTTGGTGAAGGGCGGGGGACAGATTCTTGCACAGACAAAAATCAGCACAGTGTTGGTGTGATGGAAGGATACACAGGTTACTCAATAGCCCAGAGGAGGAAATGGTTGTTCAGGTGGGCCGGGGAAGGCTTCCCGGAGGAAGCTGTTTCTGTGCTGGGTTCCTGAAGGACAAGTGGGAAGAGTGAATAGGCCACACAGGCAGAGCATGCCTCAGTCAGGGTCGGGGTCAGGGGTTGCACGCGGGATGCTCTCCATGGTCCTGAATCATCGCTGTGCTAGTGGGACAAGGGCTTTTTTGTTGATAGGAGGACAGGGGCTATAGAATAGTGCCCCAATTCTTGCCCCTCCCCCAGGCTCCAGGAAGTATTATAACTGTGAGTTCAAGAAGCTCCATGTTCAGTGTGGCAGAGGGTAATTTTGAGAGATGGGCCGTAGGATCTGAGGCTGGAGATTGTCATGGGTTGTGAAAAGTTGTGAAGGCTCTTGGAGATCATTAAGGAATGTAGTTTTTTTTTTTGAAACAGAGTCTCGCTCTGTCACCCAGACTGGAGTGCAGTGGCGCGATCTCGGCTCACTGCAAGCTCCGCCTCCTGGGTTCACGCCATTCTCCTGCCTCAGCCTCCCGAGTAGATGGGACAACAGGCGCCCACCACCACGCCCAGCTAATTTTTTGTATTTTTTAGTAGAGACAGGGTTTCACCATGTTAGCCAGGATTGTCTCGATCTCCTGACCTCGTGATCCGCCCGCCTCGGCTTCCCGAAGTGCTGGGATTACAGGCGTGAGTCACTGCGCCCGGCCAGGAACGTAGACATTTTTAACCCTATAGCCAGTGAAGAGCCTTAGAAAGGTTTTGCTCAAGGTAGTGATGAGGTCCTTTGTGGGATTCAGAAAGTGACTGATAAGCAATATGGAGAAACGACTGGAGGGCCGGCCGAGCACAGTGGCTCACGCCTGTAATCCCAGCACTTTGGGATGCCAAGGTGGGTGGATCACTTGAGGCCAGGAGTTCGAGACCAGCCTGGCCAACATGATGAAACCCCGTCTCTACTAAAAATAAAAAAAATTAGCCGGGCATGGTGGTGCACACCTGTAATCCCAGCTACTCAGGAGGCTGAGGCAGGAGAATTGCTTGAACCCAGGAGGCAGAGGTTGCAGTGAGCCGAGATTGTGCCATTGCACTCCAGCCTGGGTGACAGAGCAGGACTCCGTCTCAAAAAACAAACAAACAAAACTGGAGGGGGATGTGGGAACAGGTAATGTTGAGCTTTACAAGGGTCCAGGTAAGACACAGAGAGGCCTGAGCTAAGCCAGTGGGCAATGTGGACGTGGGGAGATGTTCAAGAGAGGAAATTGAAAGCCCTTAGATGTGGCTGTTGAGGAGAAGGAGCCCCACATGGCTCCCAGGCTTTCTGCTTGGCGACAGTGTGGATGATGGTGTTTTTGACAAAAGATAAATGATACCAGAGTGGGAGCAGGTTGGGGGAAGGATGACAAGTTCAGTTTCAAATGTGCTGAGCCTAAGGTACATGTGGGATATCTGGTGGGGGGCACGTGTAGGAGGCTGCATATGGATCTCGTGTTTGGAGATGAGGCCCTGTCTAGAGATGGAGGTTGGGGTGTCATAGTCACATGGATGATCATTGAAAGTTGAGGCCACAGCTGCACATGGTGCTCACCCCTCTAACCCCAGCATTTTGGTAGGCTGAGGTGGGAGGATCACTTGAGCCCTAGAGTTTGAGACCAGCCTGGTCAACATAGTGAGACCTTTTTCCTAAAAAAAAAATTGCTGGGTGTGGTGGTGCACGCTTATAGTCCCAGCCTTTTGGGAAGCTGAGGTGTGGATCCTCAGGAGAGGAAGACTCTTCTTTTTTATATATATATTTTTATTTTTTATTATTATTTTTTTCTTCCTGAGATGGAGTCTTGCTCTGTCACCCAGGCTGGAATATGAAAGTCTCCGTTTCTCTGTCTTTGCTCCTGTCTGTCTTGGCTCTCTTTTTTTTGTTTTTTGTTTTTTTGTTTTTTGTTGTTGTTGTTGTTTTGAGACAGAGTCTCACTCTGTCACCCACGCTGGAGTGCAGTGGTGTGATCTCGGCTCACTACAACCTCCGCCTCCTGGGTTCAAGCAATTCTCCTCCCAAGTAGCTGGGATGACAGGCGCATGCCACCACACCCAGCTAATTTTTGTGTTTTCACTAGAGATGGGGTTTCTCCATGTTGGCTAGGCTGATCTTGAATTCCTGACCTCAAGTGATCTGCTCGCCTTGGCCTCCCAAAGTGCTGGGATTACAGGCATGAGCCACCGCGCCCAGCATCAGGAAGCCCCTTCTTAAGGAGGATCCCTTGAGCCCAAGAGGTCAAAGTTATGATGAGCTATGATTGCACCACTGCGTTCCAGCCTGGGTGACAGAGAGAGACCCTGCCTCTTAAAAATTTTTTCAAAAAAAGTAAATTTCAGGCCTAGGTGAGAGGCTGCCAAGGGGGAAGGGAAACAACCGAGGCCTGAGCCCTGGAGACACTCCCATGTGGGAGGATGGGCAGAGGGCAGATGGGCTGAGCTCCCAATTACCAGCCAAGGAGGAGCAAGTGCATTCTAGGCCAGTGTTTCTCAGAGTGTGTCCTGCAGAGCTCTCGTCTTGCAAGACATTCTGTGGTCACACACACCTGGGAACGTGGCATCCTATATCTCCCTCTGGGAGACTCAGAGCATGTATTCTCATAGTAAAGGCTCTCAAAAGTCCCTAAGGAAACCTACTTTTCTGTGTTTATCCCACTACTTCCCAAGTATGACTGCTCTTTGAATAATGGCCATTAATGTTCTGTGCCCCATTTTTTTCTTTTTTGTGTGTGTTCTTTTCTTTTTTTCCCCCCACTTTTGTTTTTTGTTTTTGTTTTTGTTTTTGAGATGGAGTCTCACTCTGTCACCGAGGCTGGAGTGCAGTGGCATGATCTTGGCTCACTGCAACCTCTGCCTCCCAAGTTCAAGCAATTCTCCTGCCTCAGCCTCCTAAGTAGCTGGGATTACAGGCGCGCCCCACCACGCCTGGCTAATTTTTGTATTTTTAGTAGAGACCGGGTTTCACCATGTTGGCCAGGCTGGTCTCGAACTCCTGACCTCAGGTGATCCACCCACCTCGGCCTCCCAAAGTGCTGGCATTACAGGTATGAGCCACCACGCCGGCCCCCATTTGTTTTGAAGCTGTGATCTAGACCTAATGAATGAATATCAGAAGGTCCTTTAGCCACGGAGTTCAGCCTCCTGTTATACTGATGAAGAAACAGAATCCCGCCCAGTCTGAGGGCAGCGTGCAGTGGAGGAAGTGCTGGATTAGAGGGTAAACACACCTGGGTTTAGTCCATGCACTGTCATTTACCAGGTGTTCGACCTTGGGCAAATTACTTCTTTTCCCTGGGCCTCAGTTTCTTCATTGGCGAGATGGAGGAAAGAACCCTACCAGTCCTCTGTCTGACAGCCCCAGGTTACTGCCAGAGCTTCTCAGAAGGCTGTAGGGATTTGTCCTGGGCTGCACAACCAGAAAGGGCTTCTTGTCCTCCCTGTCCCTCTGCCCTTGGTGGCCCCTTATCCCACACAAGGACTTATTCTAGAGGCTGCCTTTGAGTTGAAACCCCAGTGAAACACAGTGGGAAGGGCTGGCTTGCTTGGTGGCAGCTCAGAGGTCCCCCAGGTTTGAAAGGCTCATGCCACCCTCTTCCCCTGCTCTGGGACCTTCCCAGTGGTGAAAAGGGAAGGCAGCAGAAAGAGAATGCTCCCCTTTCTGTCAAGGCCGAAAGTGTCCACCTGGACAGGACTGTGGCCAAAGGGATGAGGAGTTTTGGGGCACGGGAAGGGGACCCTGGGCTTGGGTCTAGAGTTGTGGTTGTGCCTCCTTCACCACTAGACACAGTTCCACAGCTGGGCAGCCTCCCACAGCTGGACTCTGTCCACCTGCTGGCACCATCACACACTTACGAGATCATTGCTGGGGCCGGGTTCTAGCCCCACGGAGCTCCTAGCTCTCTGTCCTTGTTTGTTAATCACCCGTCATGCCAGGCCACCATGGGGAACTCCCCCCATCCGCCTTTGCAGGCCTGAGCTCAGCGAGCTGGAAAGAGGCAGCAGGCAACTTTGAGAATGAAATCTGTTTTCCTAACCCTCCCGTCACAGTCATTCATACCCAGCACGCTGAAGCATATTTTTAGTCACTTTGCAGAATTTAAAATACACCTCGAAGGCGCCAAGAAACACCAGCTTGGGGATTAACTCTGCTCACAAGAGACAGTGGAGGGGGGCGGGGGGGGTGCCTCGTGCTGTGTCACCCGTTGGCTATGCCATGACTCACTGTGGCCGAAAGCTTCACCAGATGCACCTGCCTGTGGACGTGGGGTCCGGAAAAGCCTCTAGCGGGGAGTGAGCTCCAGCCCTCGGGGATGATGCCAGAGCCTGGGGCAGCTCCAGCCCTGCCACAGCTTCACTGCCTGTTCGTAATGGGTCACGTCCGTGCCCTGGGACTTGTCTGTGAAACACAGGGAATGATTAACTGGTTTCCGAGGGTTTGTCCAGTTCTAACATTCTGTCCTCTGCACTTTATACAGGATTTTAATTTCGATTTTAATTCCCCAAACAGGTGAATGGGGGAGGGAAGGGGGAGATCGTCACAGAGCCACAGCACCTCTAAGGAGGGGTGAAACCGTGATGGGATGTCAGGAACACAGAAGCACCCCAACCACTCTCCATAGGAGGCAGACCCCCGCCCCGTCCCACCAAGGGGAGGTGACCACCCGTGGATTTCCAGACTGAATCCCATCCTGCCATCTGCCCCCAGATACAGAAATGGAGGCCCAGAGAGTGGGTGTCATGTTCAGGATCATGCCACACACCAGGGCAGAGCTGAGCTAGGACCCAGCCTCCTGTCTGCCACTGGGGGCTTTGTACCCTCTCTAGCACATACCTGGAAGTCTGAAGCTTGGAGATGTGGTCCCTCAGGAGGGAAAGCCCCTTCTGAATATCCTGTTTCTGTTGGGCCCCAATCACAGCCCTTGCTCTCCCCGCCAGGGGCTGCGGGCCACTCTGTGGGGCAAGGGTAGGGTCCGGGTGCCCACACAGGAATGGGCCCGGGGTAGGTTGGGGGCTGGATCTGGGTTGCCCTGGGGAGGTGGGAGACACAGCCCACCATGACTGGTGGAGGTCTAGGTTCTGGGCCCTCCCTGAACTGGTTAAATCCGGGCGTGTGAGTATCGGAGGAGCCACCGGCTCTCCAACTGGCGCCCCTGACTTTAGCCATCTGAGACTCCTCTCTCCAGTTCTCCCAGATACGCTAGGCTCAAGCCCTCAGCCCGGCTCCCAGAGCCTCCGCCGGGAGTCCACGCCCGAGGCAGGGGTTGGGTGAAGGGTACTGAGTAGGTGCTGGGAGCCCCGTCACCAGCACCCTGCTCCCAGCTCCGTAGCCAGAGCAAACCCTCTCCCGCTCCCCGCGGGCGTTCGCGGCCGGTCGGCCCCGGCGTGACTGCGCCCCCATTGGCAGGAGGGGCTCTGCCGCCCGGGCCCCCAGTCCCCGGGCCCCCCACCCCCAGGGCAGCACGTGCGGGGCGGGGCTGTGGCCCGAGCCCGGAGCTGATTGGGCGCGGGCCTGGTGGGCGGGGCCGGGCCGCAGCTGTCAGAGCCGCGGCGGCGAACGAGGCGCAGCGAGCTGAGCGGTGGCAGCGCCGCAGCCGGGGCCGGAGCGCAGGAGCCGACGGGGCCCGACCAGGATGGTGCAGTGGCGGCTCCGCGGCGCACGCACGCGCTGAGCGGGCCCAGCCTGGGCCCCGCGCCCCCCGCGCCCCCCGCCGCCCCGATCCGGGCCGGCATGATGTGCCTGGAATGCGCCTCGGCGGCGGCGGGCGGCGCGGAGGAGGAGGAGGCGGACGCGGAGCGGCGGCGCCGGCGCCGGGGGGCGCAGCGAGGGGCTGGCGGTAGCGGTTGCTGCGGGGCGCGGGGCGCGGGCGGCGCTGGAGTCTCGGCCGCGGGCGATGAGGTGCAGACGCTGTCGGGCAGCGTAAGGCGGGCCCCGACCGGACCCCCCGGCACCCCCGGCACCCCCGGCTGCGCAGCTACTGCAAAGGGCCCCGGCGCTCAGCAGCCCAAACCGGCCAGCTTGGGCCGCGGGCGGGGGGCAGCCGCCGCCATCCTCAGCTTGGGCAACGTGCTCAACTACCTGGACAGGTACACCGTGGCAGGTGAGCGAGTGCCCCACCCAGCCCGAGGACCAAGACCCCACCCCATCCCACCACCCGCCTCGAGGGAGGTACCCCAGAGAGCTTTTGGTCTCAGGCCTGCTATCTCCAGGCCCTACGTGAGGTCCCTACGGACCCTCTGCTCAGGCACAACTGGGCAAGGGATGCCTCCGTGCACCACGGGTACAATCCAGCTCCCCGCTCATACACACCCGGGGCCAAGGGATAGAGGAGTCCCCACCCCTGGAGCAGCCCGCGCGTCCTCTCCAGCCCTTGACGGCCCATCCGTTGTCCTCCTCTCCAAGAGTCTCCTCTGCGTCTCTCTGTCTCCTTGTCTCTGCGCCCCCTCCGACCCCAGCTGCCGGTTCCCGGGCCTCCTTCCCTTCCCTTCCCCCAGCCCAGGTCGTCTGTCCGTCCATGGCCCGTCAGTTCCTTCCTTTCTCCGCCGCCTCCACCCCCCTGCGTGCGTGCGGCGAGTGCGCGCGCCCCTTGCGGGTGTGCGCTAGGGAGACCGGGTGTGTGTGCGCGTGGCGGCGCGGTTGTGTGTGAGCGCGTGGCTGACAAAGGCTCCGGGCTGCGGGGAGCGGAGGGAGGGGCGGGGCGGGTCCGCGGCGCCTGGGGACCCAGGCTGCGGTTTGCAGCTGGCCCTGTACAGAGGCCTGGAGACGCCTCCCCCTGCTCTATGGTGCTTGGGGTGTAGGGTAGGGCGCAGGCCTCTGGAGCTAGAGACGTGGAGCCTCATCCTCAGGGAGCATCTCTGGGAATCAGCCTTGGGGACGGGATTGGGATCGATAGAACAACTGGGTTCTAGCCCCAGCTTTGCTCCTAATGTGCTTGGTGTGTGACCTTGGGCCAGTCTCAGCGTGTGTTTAGGTCTGTTTGCCCGTTTGTGAGTTGATTGATCATTGGGCCTTTGGGGGACGCACGTGGTTCTGGAATTGCCTTCTGCTGGCTCCCTTCCCCAGCAATTAGGGGTGGGTCTAGGGGTAAGAATTTGCCCTAGACTGAGCTGCTACTGGTTGGGAATGGTGGAGCTTTGAGAGGGAAGGACTTTGGCCAGACTGGCATAGGAAGGGGCTCCCTGCAGGAGGAGAGCAGTACTGTGTGCCTGGCATGCTGGCCCAGAACCTGCGTAACTATAGCTTAGTAAAATCTGGAGCTATCAAACACACACACAACAGAGAGAGAGAGGAGATAGGAGAGAGGGAAGGATTTATTTTTGGACAGACTCTAAAGAGAACTTTGCGGCAATTGAGGGAAGAGAGCCCGGGCATAAACCACATGCCACCTGGTGCCTTCTCTGGGCCTCAGTCTCCCCGTCTGTTGAATGGAGTTTTGTGTCAAATGGAAGGGAAGAATTCTGATGGGAGGGCAGAGGCTTCCCCCTCCCCCCATTCCTGCTTTCAACCCCCCTTGGCTCTCTGTCCTTCCGCTGGAGGAAATTGGAAGTGGGTACCAGTGGCATCAGTTTCTGGGTCGAGCTATCCCAAAGAGAAACTTACTTTGGTCTAGAGAGCAGGAATATTGAGCACCTCCCAAAAACGCCAGCCGCTGTCACGCATGCACCATGCTGCCGGGGACCTGGGAGCATAAGCGCCATCCTTTGGGGGAGAAATCAGAGAATACCTGGGACCTGTAGTCAGTTCACAAAAGGCTTCTGTACACAGATAGGGGGACCAATGTCCCTGTACAGCCCCCGTTCAAGATGGCCAGGAAAGTGACTGGCAAAGCTGGTGTTAGCTCTAACAGTAAGGCTCTGCCTGGGAGGAGGTCTTCCCACCCTTTCTCAGCTGAAGAAGGAATGGTACTACTTCTGGCACTGTAGCGCTCTCCAACTTGTTTTTTTTCTGGCCCCAGACCACCCCCTTTGACGTTCTTAGGGGAACTGCCTCTGCCAGGGGCAGAGCCAGAGAGGGTGGGATCAGGGAGGGCTGGCACTTATCTGCTCCCACTTCTACTCAGGTCTCTGAGTCAGATTGTCAGCATGGGGGAATGAGATAGGAAATTTGTGGTGAATTGGTAAAGGGAGGTGGGGAGTGGTGGCTAAGAGGGGCGTGGGGCAGTTAGGGAGGAAGGCCCGGAAAGTCCTGTGCAAACACTTGCCTGGGCTGTGCCTCCCTCCCTCTCCTGGCCTGGAGTGGGAGCTCACACACCACCCCACCCCCAACACACAACAGACACAGGTTTCCTCTCCGGATAAGCCTGGTTGCCCCTCTCTCTATGGTAGATTTCCCCATCTCCACTTCCCCAAGTTCAGTTTTTAGGAATATTTATTATCTCTATGGTAACTACTATGGCTTGATGTGCTAGGGCCAGGGGAGTGCTCATCCCAGGCCTGAGTGCACCTGTTGCTGGCTGGCCCAGCTGGGACAGAGATGGGGATGCAGAGACTCAATTGCTCAGTCTTTGATGCTTGCACCTACCTGGCCCCAGCTCCCCACCAAAGATGGAAGGGAGGTCCCACTCTCCTTCTTTAACTCTGTCCTTTAAATCTGTTTTTTCATAGTGTAGACCAGCTTTGTCCAAAAGAAATATAATGTAAGCCACATATTCCTGTCAAATTTTCTGGTAGCCGGACTAAAATAGTACAAGAAATAGGTGTGATTAATTCATAATATATTTTATTTAACTCAATATATCCAACATATTTCAACATGTAATCAATATAAAAGTTGTTAGGGCTGGGCGCGGTGGCTCACGCCTGTAAACCCAGCACTTTGGGAGGTCGAGGCGGGTGGATCACCTGAGGTCGGAAGTTCGAGACCAGCCTGGTCAACATGGTGAAACCCCCCATCTCTACTAAAGTAAATACAAAAATTAGCTAGCATGGTGGTGCACACCTGTAGTCCCAGCTACTCGGGAGGCTGAGGCAGGATAATCGCTTGAACCCAGGAGGTGGAGGTTGCATTGAGCCAAGATCGCGCCACTGTACTCCAGCCTGGGTGACAGAGTGAGGCTCTGTCTCAAAAAAAAAAAAAAAATTATACACACACACACATATGTATGTTGTTAATGGGATATTTTGCCTCCCTTTTCATACTAAGTCTTTGAAACCCAGTATGTGTATTTTCCATTCACAGCACATGTCAATATCACGGTGGCCAGGGGCCACTAGAGTGGACAGTGCAGGTCTAGAGTCTTTGTTGCCAGAGTTCGAGCCAAGGCTCTTCAGCTTCCCAGCCGTGTGACCTTGAAGACATCACCTGAGCCTTCTGTGTGATCATTCCCCTCCCGCCTGCCTCCCGGGTTGCGTGGGATAAATGAGACTGTATCTCGAGCACCTGGGACGGGGCCAGATTCCTAGGAGGGCTTCACGAGTGCCAGCTGCCTTCTCCTTCATGCCTCTGCTCAAGCTGGCCACGATGCCTTTCCTGGGATTTTTGTTGTTGTTGTTCTGTTTTTTGTTCTGTTTATGACAGTCCTTTCAGGACACCTTTGCAAGCCCCTCCCTTCTCCACAGGGCTGGTCTCCATCCTGGGAACTCTAGTAGCTTCTGCCCCAGCGCCACCCGGTGAACCTGCTAATTACGGCCTCTCCTCCGCCCCATGAGAACCCCCTGAGGGCAGCAGGCCTCAGAGCGGGTGAGGAGGGCCAGGCTCCTGTGCTTGCTCTTCTTACCGAGCGTTGCTTCAATTGGATGAAATTGAGGTAGCCCAGAAACCTCTTCTAAATCCTTCCTTGCACCTCCTTGCGCAGATGGGAACACAGCCATCCAGAGAACAAAGACACTTACCCAAGGTCACACGGGGGGCGGAGCAGGGCCACACCAGCCAGAGCGGCATCCTCTCCAGTCCCAGGAGCCCCAGGTGGAGGTAGGGGCATGACCCTTGCTTCTGGCCTGGGAACGCAGAGGCTCTGCTGGCTTAGGCAAGAGCCCTTTGGGTAGATGAATTTCAGTTTAATTGAGCCAAGGCAGTTTGAGCTCCCCTAGGGCACATGGCTCCTGCTCCTATGGTCCCTAGCAGCCACCCACTCTGCATTCTGAGCCCACTCCTAGCTGCAAGGTCAGGAGAAGGAGGGAGTCCCTCAGACGGGGGTCTCACGCCCCCTCTAACTAGCTCTGCTTCCTGGTGCCAGAGCCACCTCTGCCACCCAGGCTGCCATTCTTACCTCTGTGAAATGGAAGCAGAGCTGAGGGTGTAGGTGGCAGCATTTTGCTCCTGGAACCAGGCCCCACAAGAGGGAGGTGGCCCTGGCCTTGTTTATGGGTGGTGAATGACTATTTGGGAACTGAGATCCTTCCCCAACTTCTGTGGGGTACCTGTTCTCTTCTCAAGACCTATTTTCTTTCCCTTTGATCCAGCCTGGGGCAGCCTGGGCACTTGGAGTTGGGTGGAGTGGGGGCTGTTGAGGAAAGGCAGAGCCTTGCCCTGGGGGAGTCCTTTTCTGCCAAAGAAGCTGAGACTGGTATCCATGGCAACTGCTCACTAACACAAACCCAGAAGGAGCGATGAGCATAGGGACCCAGCTGGGAACACAAGCCGAGAGGGACTTGGGGGCTTCCCCAGAGCAGCTGAGCTGGGTGCAGGAGGAGGGGGTGCCAGGCTGGGGCTCACTCTCCTATTGGCTTTTTTTTTTTTTTTGGTCTGTCCTGTTAAGTCTATCCAGAATTGAAAGATGGGGAAACTGAGGCCCAGGGTCTTTTACAGGGTCACCTGGTGGGTAGGGGCTAAGCCAGGCCCTGTCTTGTGGCTCTGTGGCTCTCTCTTTAGATAAGGATGGCCACCTTAAGGATAAACAGTGCCCCTGCCTTGCCCTCTTAGGTGGCCTTGTCCTGGCCACTGCCACATCTGCACCGTGGAGAAACCCCAGCTGAGGTGTGAGGGGCAGGGCATCCAGAGTGTCTGACTGGCAGGCTCAGCACCCAGGTGAAGCGCCAGGTGGTCTAGAATGTCAGCGCCCTTGTGACTAACTGCCTGCTGCCCACTTCCTTGCTCCTGCTTCCTTTTCAAGGCACCTTCCAGCAGGCTCTGCCAGCCCCTCCGCTGTGCTGTCATCCATCAGAGGAAGTGCTTTGAAACATAGTACCTTGGTCTGGGGCCCTGGACCGGTGATGGGCCTGGCCTGTGCCTCTGTTTCTCATTTTGTGGATGAGGCAGGAAGGCTGCAGGTCTGCAGGTGATAGCCTGTTCTGAGAGGGAGGCTGCCCTGTTCAGAGCTGCTCAGAGGAGGAGCTCCTTGTCCCTTCCCCAGAACCTTCTGCAATAGGAAGTGGCTTTTGTTTCTGCCTGTGGGGGCCTGAAATCTTGAAGGTAGAAGGGGGATGAGAGTGAGGGAGTCCAGGAGAACACTGGCCCGATCCCTAGGCTTCTGGGGCTGGGCTCCCTCTTAAGCTCCAAATGTCTTCTGGGCTGAGCTTCCTGTTCCTGGCTCTGCCAGCCTTCGCCAGCTTTACTGTGTGACTGGAGGCAAATTCTGACTCTCTCTGATCCCTGAATCCATGACAGATGATTTTTGTCCCTCTCTTGCTGTTGTCAGTGTCTTGGTCCCAAGGATAGTGTGGTGCACTTGGTCTCAGGAACTCCAGTCTGCTGGTCCCTGGCTCTGCCTGCACCTCCTTTCCCCAGGACAACCAGATCTGCTTCCCGGGAGCTACAGTAGCCAACTGCGCTTGTCCCTGGTGGGTCTCAGCGGTGTCCTCTTTCCAGGATGCCGTCTCCAGTGCTCTGGGTTGAACCAAGTGCCTAACTCCCGGTTTTGAACTGTGCTCTGCTCCGCCTCCATCACAGCACCTATCCCCATGGAGAGTCACCATCCCCCTCTAGCCATGGTCACACCTGGGACCCCCGCATGCATAGGAGACTGCCCCAGGCTTGAGCTCTGTTGACTGAGTCACAGACTCAGTTGACTGAGACTTGGGTTGACTCATACCTGCCTGACCCAAAGCACATCCTTCTGGGCTGAAAGGGCACTGGTAGGTTTGGACAGCTCAGGTGAAGGGCCAGGCCCCTGTGCTGACATCAGGGTTTCTCCGACAGTGGCTGGTGCTGTCTCTTTGTTCTGACCAGGGCTCACAATGAGCCTCAGGGCCTGAGTCTCCAGGAAGGAAATGGGAGGATGTAGTCAGGCAGTCCCTGTCTACCCAGTCCTCAGCCCTGACAATGAGGCCGCGCAACCCCCAAGCTGGGCAGAGCGGCTTTTCTACATGGCTTTTCTACATTCAAGAGGGCACAGTGGCAGCTTTGCCCTGTCTCTTCTGCAGATAGGGCTGGCCCAGGTCACACAGTGAGGCCGTGTGAGGAAGAGCACCGGTCTGCTCTGGGCCTGGTCCTCGCCTGGTGGCTGGGAGGTTGGTGAGTGGGGCCACAGGGGAGAGGAGAGGAGAGCATCGGCATCGGGGCAAGAATCAAACCTGGAACGAGGCACTAGCCAGAGCTTGGAGGCTGGGGACAGGGTCCTGTCCTCCTGCCTCCCGCTTTCCTCTGCCCTCTTGGAGCCCATGCTAGGGTCTCCCCACTCCCACTCCTAGAGCCACGAGGTCTTCGTGATTCCTTCCCTGTCAGGCATGGGGTTCCTGAATGGGCTTCCAAGAGGCAAAGAGCAGGATCAGGCTTTGTCAACTGAAAAGGGCTGTGCCTGGGGAGAGGTGGGGTTACTTGGTCACACAGCTGTTTCCAGCATCCGTGTGGGGATGCTAGGGTGTTGAGGGGTGACTGCTTGCAGCCTTTTTGTGGGGAGTTGTCGGGGTGCAGGTGGGGAACACAGGCCAGATGTGGGAGCCTGGGGACCAGCTCGGCCTGGCTCCTGCAGCCTCTGTCCCGCTCACCTTCTGCACGTCAGCTTCCATCCGAGGCGGGGAGCAGCAGTCCCTGGCCGCCTTGGCTACTGAAGTAGCACGTGGGGAGAAGGCTGAGGGTTTGTGGGCTTGAGGGGAGCCATTCTGAGGTCTCTTATCTCTTCCCCACCCTCTTCCCCAGGCCCCTGCCTTATCCTGTGTCTGGCTGGCATATCATGACCCACTGGCCACACCCCCTGTGGGTCACGATAAGGCTGTGGCCACCTTATCCCTGGCCCCTGGTGGTCTTGGGAGTCCCTGGGCCAGGACAGGGCTGGGGAGGCTGAGCTGGGGAAGGAGTAGCCGTGCAAAGCCCCCAGATTGCTCAGGCAGAGCCTGGTTCCAGTAAAGCTGGCCCCAAATGATAGACTAGAACCACAGGCCAGAGGCCCGGCAGCCCGGCCCCGCCCACTCTTGGCATAGAGACACAGCAGGGAGGAGGGGGACACTCTGAGCTCCAGGGTGGTGTCTCTCTAGGGCTAGCGGGGTCTGCGGGCAGGACTCGTGGGTGGGGAGGGGTGTTTCTCTAAGGGGCCAAGGCTCTGGGCTGGGGGCCTCATCCTCATGGTCTCTGCAGAGACTGATCAGTAAGCTGCTCTGCCATTAATGACCCAGATTTGCAGGGTGGCTTGGGAGTAGGGGACCAGCAGATGTAGAACAAACCCAGTTGAGATTCAGAAATGAACCCAGCAGGGATGTCTTGGGATTCTGGGCCACTTCTGAAATGGGCAACCTGAGGCCCAGCTGCTCCTGAAGATCACAGCCTCCTGCGGGCAGACGGGGGCAGGATCTTGCCCTGGGGAAGCCTGGGGGTGAGTAGGAGTGAGTGTGCCTGAGTCCAGAGCACTGGCTCAGGGACTGCCTTGGCCCAGTCCCTAGGCTGGTGGGGTGCCAGCGGGGCCGGGCTGTGGGTTCCCAGCCTTAGCCATCCAGCGCCAGGTCAGCAGAGCCAGGCTCTCAGGCCCCTGTAATTACCGGGGTGGGAGCTGCAGCCAAGCGGGAGCAGGGGTAAGACTCCCAGCGTGAGCCAGCACTGAGGCCTCCACATGGGGACCTGGGTCCCTCTGAGAGGGACTGGTGAAGGGCATCAGGGCCCATCCTTTCAGATTGCTAGGCCCTGTCTTTCCAGGCATCTGCCCCCATTTTGGATAAAAGAAAACCAAGGTGGGAATGCCCCATTGTTCTCAGGTCATAGCTGGGGCTGTGTCCTGTCCCACTAGTTAATTACAAATGATAACATTTATGACATTTATTGAGGACCTACTATGTGCCAGGCACTATTCTAAACACTGAATGTGGATTAACCTACTTAAACCTCACAACAACCATATGAAATGAAGCAGGTCTTCAAATTAAGCCATATTACAGAGGAGGAAACTGGCACAGAGAGGTTATGTTATTTCCCCAAGGTCACACAGCAGAGAAAGTGGGAAAACCAGGATTTAAACCCAGATGCTCCAGTTCCAGAGCCCATGCTCTTGAGAATTTAGCTAAGCCACCTGCTGCTCTGAGACAGGCTCAGGTAGGGTGAACGTGGGCTGATACTGACTGTGCTTGGGGAAAGCAGGGGGTACGCGGGGACAAGCTTGAGTGCCAGGTGCCCTGTCTGGGCTGCCTAGGAAGGAAGAGACCTCAGGATCACGCTGTTGGCATCTTGCATTTGAGGCTGGCCTGAGCCGAGGGCTCTTGAGGTCAGTGTGGATTTCCTCTTACACCTTGGCCTTTCGAGGATTCTGTGATGTCAGCAGATTGGGCCTGGCTGGAGGAGGGAGGAGGAGGCCAGAAGTCCTGGAATCGGGGCTTGACTCCTCTCGGGGCTACTGAAGAACCAGCAGTGATGGGGAATCACTGTGAGTGTCTGGGGCAAGCTGTTGAGTGAGTCAGGGCCAGAGTCCATCCAGTTCTGGGGGTGCCCTTGAGGTTACAGGCACCACTTCACCAAGAGCCTCAGAGGAGAGAGGCGCAGGTATCCTGGTAGACGCGACTTTGGATCTGCGCCCTAGAGGTGAGGCAGGTCTTAATGGCTAGAGAGGGATAGCCTAGGAAGAGGCACAGCTGTGGCCAGGGCTGGGCGGCCTACAGCCTGTGATGTGTGATTCCAGGGAACTCAGAGCAGCCTGGCCAGTGGTTTCCAATCACCTGGGCAGTGCGTTTATAGATTCTTAGGTCCCACATCTAGAAAGGGTGACTCTGCAGATTTGGGGAGGGCCCCAGGAAGCTGTATTTTAATAAGCACCTTCCCTAAAGGTGATTGGGATTCTCAGGCAGGTTTGGGGATCTTCCCAGTCTCTGCATTTACACAGGAAGAAATAGGGGTCCAGGGAGGTGAAAAGTCATGGCTAGCAGCATTTCCCTTTGCCTGGAGTCAGGGGCTGTATGTGTGTGCGGTGGGCACTGTGGTTGGGAGAAGAGCTGGCTTAGGGCCAGACCGTGGAGGCCTCAGATGCTAGAATTCTGGGCGGCAATGGGGCTGCTAAGTGTGAGTGGGCAGCCGTACCCACTGGGCCAATACTCGTAGAACAGCGCCTGGCACAAAGTAGTTGGTGGATATGTGTCAATATGTGCATTGTCGCTGTTGTTATTGGTACCATTACTGAGCCAGGGGTCTGGGCCAGTGGATCTTAAAGGACTGATGGACGACTCTGAGGCCAGAGGTCACCAGTGGGCCACAGCGTTAGCTCCTTGAGTCCAGGCACTGTCTCGGGGTCTCTAGAGGCCCAGACCAGGACTTAGAACTCAGTAGGAGATTCGTAAGAGCTTGTGAGATCAGGCAGCAGGAGGGATGCCGGCTGGCCGGCAGGGGCTGGAGGCAGGGAGTCCAGGGAGGAGGCTGGACGATAAAGCAGATGGAGAATCACCGGGGCCCATTCATGAGGTGGAGGGAGCCAAAGGGGTATCCTGGCTGACTCCCAGGGTCCTGCAGTGTCCTACAGGGTCCGCTCAGGGAATGGGGACCCAGTGGTGAGCTGAGGAATCAGTCAGGAGGCTGGGAAACAGGGATGAGAGCGTCCAGGGGTTGAGCCTCCAGGAGGTGGTTGGTTTCAGAGGAGGAAAGGAGGTGAGAATATTGACTTGGGAAGGGAAAGAACTCTCCAGAGTTCTTAGCCAAGTGTCGTGGTCCACGCCTGTGGTCCCAGCTACTCGGGAGGCTGAGGCAGGAGGATGGCTGGAGCCCAAAAGGCTGAGGCTGCAGTGAGCTGTGATTGTGCCACTGCACTTTAGCCTGGGTCAGAGAGCAAGACCCTGTCTCAAAACAACAACAAATGCTGTCACCTGTGAAAGGAGGAGAGGAAAGGAACAGCTGGCAGAGGGGACAAGTCAGAGCTGTTCTCACCACCAGGGTGAGGGAGGTGTGGGCGTGTTTGTGGGCTGCTGTGCAGGAGCCGGAAGCCAGGGAGAGGCTGAGTGCACGGGCCCAAGCCAAGGACTGACCCAGCGCAGCCTCCCTGCCAGGCGAGAGAGACTGTTGGCCCAGAGTAGGGGACGTTGGCCTCAGACAAGAGGTGAGACCTCCTGGGGCTTGGGAGGTACGTAACTTGTCAATGGATGTTGTTCCAGAATGTTTTCTTGGGTGATGAGAACCCTGTGGCTAGGAGACGATTCCAGCTGTGGATTTGGGGTATGCCTGGAGAGGCCTGCATTGTGGCTGTGTTGGCTGGGGTCTGCATCTGGGGTAGGAACCCCACTTTGCATGCACGCCTGGCGGGGTGGGCTTGGCCTGAGCTGTGGGAGGCTGCTCCTGGGCGTGAGGCCCATCCTGTGACCCACCAAACCTCAGCCTCCAGGAAAGAGGCTAAAAATAAGGCTGTGGTGAAGAAGGGAGGGGTGCGTGGGCCTGAGCCGTGCTGGAGCCCAAAGGAAAATCTGAGGCGACCCGCCGAGCTGCTGTGACACACGCTTCCCGTGCCAGCGGCCAGCGGGATCTCACCCTCCTGTGGCTGTGGCCGCCTCCAGGCCCGGAAGAGGGAAAGCAAGCCAGAAAGGTTCAGCCCAGGTCCGACCTTGGGCCTCGCAGCCTGCAGGAAGCCCTGCTCCCTGGGAAGGTTCTCTCTGGTCTTCTTCCTGGAGCTTGGACTTGGACCCAAGACTGGGCGCTGGGGAGTGGTGGGACGGGAGCAGGCCATGTTATCCAAAAGCTTCCTGTGTCCTGGGAACTGCCCAGGACTTCCCAGAGACCTTAGACGCCCATCTGGATGTGGAGGAATGTTCTCCCTCTACCAGGAGCTCTATGTGGTAGGAAGTCAGGGGAAGGCTTCCTGGAGGCAGAGGCAAATCCTGGACCTTGAAGTCATCGGATGGGGAAGTGTGCCGCTGGATAGCTGGATACTGCAGGGAGGAAGCGAGAGTGCTTTGATTTGCCGTGGACACAGGATGTCATCATGATGGCTATTTTGATATGGCCTCCCTCCCAGAAATGGAACCTGCAGTTACTGCAGACCCGTGTCCCTCCTCTGGACTATGGATGGGGACCCTCCTGCCTCCTCCTGACTCCGCCCATCCTCTTGTCCACCCGACACCAAAATCGTGACTGTCCCTGCTCTGAGTCCTGGAGATGACCGGCCACGGCTCCTGCCTGGCTTGTGGTCTAGTGGAGGATGAAGAAACATTCACCCACGTGTAAAGTCCCTGTGGGTTATGTGTGTGCTGGGCCCTGGAGGACACCAGCAAACCACGCAGAAGGCAGCGTGGCAGGAGAACGAGCTTTGGTTTTTGGCAATAGACCTCGTTTCAGATCTCACCTCCAAAACAGAATGTACTGTGTGACAAATTACTTCATGTCTCAGAGCCTCGGTTTCTTCCTATATAAAATGGGATGAGAATCATAAATACCAGCACAGATAGTGAGGACAGCGTCTGTACCATCTTCAAAGCCTCACGCAGTTCCTTGGAACTTAGCGGGAAGCGGTAACTAGCGGCTCTCAGCTCAGGAGGAGCTCATAGCTGTGCTTCTGTGTGCATTCCCTATAGAACCCACTCATCCTGGTAGGCCCAGTGCTAAAACGAGTTTGGACAGGGGAAGAGTGGGGGCAACTAACTTATTGAGGGTGGTGGGAGGGGAGCAAGCAGGGGAGATATTCCAGAACAGGAGGCATCTGAACTGGCCTTGAAGAAGTGGCAGGAGTGAGCCTGGTTGACGGAGTTGTACCAGAATAGAAGAGGAAGTGTGCAGAGTCAGGGGGCCATGAGTAGTTTGGGGTGGCTAGTGGAGGGGTGGTGTCCTGAGAAGTGAGGCCGGAGGGCGGGGCTGGCAGGGCCACACCTTCACCCTGTGAAGTGACTGTGCCACAGAGGGATGGGATCAAACCTACACATCAGGAGGGGGAACAGAGTCCTGACCCAGAAAGGAATGGGTTGTGGGGCTGTGAGCCTCTGGGGCTGGGTCAGGGCACCTCAGAGGTCCCTCTTGCTGGCTCTGCCATCCACAGGCCTAGGATTGGCCCCGGCTTCTACCTTCAAGGCAAAGCCACAGCCTCTGCCTTGGTTATTAAGTCATTAACTGGGCCTCACACAGCCTCTTCATTACGGGTAATTATGGTCAACCCACTCAGGGCATTAACAAGGAGGAAGACAGCTTCTCTGGCTGTCAGGCTGCTGGGACATCCGCCCGTCTGTCCTGCATTCCGGGAAATTGCTCAGGATTCCAACCTGGGTCTCGGAAGGGACAGTGACGTTCCAGCCTCCCCACTCCTTCCACACCCCCAGTCCCAGCTGCCAGCAGGATCCTCATACAGCACCTGGAGATTCCACTTTTTCCTACTTCCCTGTGGTGTGACTTTGAGCCCACAGCCTGACTTCCTATGCTCCAGTTTCCTCATCTGTCAACTTGGATCCTAGTACCAGCCTCCTAGGGCTGTGTGGGGATTATACAGGCATTTAATGCTCAGTTCGGCAAACCATCATCTGTTGAATGCTGCCATCATCATCGTCATCATGAAGAGCTCTGGAGTCCCCCAAAGGCTTCTGTCCCTGCCTGTAAGGCCCCCAAAGGCAGGGCCATCTCCTCTTCCTTCTTCCGCTGTCCCTTCTCACTGCAGATGTGCTATGGTCAGCGGGGCTCTGGCCTGTGCCCTGGGTCCTCCTGTCCTCACAGATAATGCAGGCAGGGACCCTGAGGCCCACGGGGATGGGGGTTGTGCTTACTCAGGAGCCCTGGCTGAGTGCTGCGAGGGGTAGGAGGTCCAAGATCCTGCCTGTCCCCCAGAAGCCATGGCTCTGCCAGTCTGCTGGGGCTGTGGGTGGTTTCTGGGTGGTCCAGCTGCTGCCCCCACCCCGTGACGTGCAAAGCCCTAAAGTAGTTGGGCTTGGAAGCGGGTGTGGCCTCAAGAAATCCACTTCTCCCAAGAAAACGGGCCTGGAGCCCCGCCTGCTTCCCTCTGTACCCTGGGCCAGAATCTGAAAATGGAGGGGCCCGGTTATAATCCTGAGGGCAGCTGGGGTGACAGTGTGTGTGTGTGCGTGCGCGCGCACGGGTATGTGTGTGCGCGCGTGGGTGTGTATGCATGTGTGCAGGTGTGTGCACACACGTGCGTGCGTGTGCAGGTGTGTGTGTGCATGTACAGGTGTGTGCGTGTGTGTGCGAATGTGGTTGTGCACATGTGCAGGTGAACCAGAGTGAGCGGCTGCCCCTCCCAGGCCAGAGGGCTCCCCGCAGCTTTCAGGGCCCCCGCTGCTCTCTGAGTCATGGGCTTTGTGTTCCCCCTGAGGGAAAGGCCTATGTCTATTGCACTGATCCACGGCCTGGGCCGCAGGTAGGGAAGAGGCCCAAGCTGGCAGATAGGAGGTGTGGTTGCCCATGGGGCAGAATGACCGCAGAGGAGCCCTGCCTTTCCCTGCCCCTCGGGTCCTTGTGAGTGATGGGAACAGGCTGAGGACAGGAGGTCCCCGGGGAGGCAGGAGGGAAGCCTGGGAAACCTGGGCAGGGTAGAGGTCGCAGCAGAGCAGGAGTGCCGCAGATATGGCCAGGCTGGGCCCTGCAAGGCGGGAAAGAGGCTGGGCTGGTCTGTGGGGACACCAGCCATCAGACTCGGCCAGTGAGCACCCTCTGTCTTCCCTCCAGGCGTCCTTCTGGACATCCAGCAGCACTTTGGGGTCAAGGACCGAGGCGCCGGCCTGCTGCAGTCAGGTGAGGCCCACCTCCCACCTTCCCCCCCACGCCCAGGCGTTGGCGTCGTGGGTCCTGTCCTGTTGGTCGTCATCTGCCACCCGGTCTGTCTTCCCCTGTCCTGACTCCTGGAAAGAGAGTGGGCTTTGCATCCCAGTCTCACTATTGCCACCTGCCAATGGCACTGCTTCTCTGAGCCTCTGCTGCTTTTCTTGTGTAACAAAATGAATAATACCTGCCCTGAGGGGCTATGGCAGGTAAAGGAGAGTGCAGGCAGAGGTTGCAGAGGTGAACTTTCTCTGGGTCCTGGGGCCTCATCGGGACCCAGTGATCCAGGCTCCCTCCTGAGGCTGGTGCAGGGAGCTCCTTAATTCAGTAAGTTGGGCAATGCCAGCAGAGCCGTGGTGACCCTGTTTTTATCTCCTGCCCTCCCCCACATTCCTTCCAATATCATCAACCCTGGGAATCGCCTCTTAGGTGACGAAGCAAAAAACTCCAGCTAGTCAGCCCCAGAGCGGTTCCCAAGCCCGGGGCAGGCGCCTGAGAATCTGGGCCCTGGACTGGACGTGGGCCTGAGGTTCCCTACCACCCTCTCCCCTGGGGCCCAGGCTTCTGATGGGCTGCCAGAGCAGGGCCTGAGCCCCCAGGCTGCTGGAAGCTGGGCCGGGACAGTGTGGGAGGCCATTAAGCACTTATGGCAGCCCACCAGCCCCTCCCTCCAGGGAGCGTGCCTCCCTTGTCCCTGCCTTCCCCATGACATGGCCCTGTGGGAGCTGGGCCCTTGGCTCCCTGGCCTTCCCACTGGCTGAGGCCATGTTGGCGATGCTCTTAGCAGCAACCTTCAGGCCTGGGCAGAGACTAAGGCCAGTGCTGCCACTCAGGGCTTGGGGCGGGAGGCCTGGTCCTGACTCTGCCCTAGTCATGCTGTGTGGCCCCAGCCTGGATCCTGCTTTCTCTGGGCCCTTGGCCCTGGAGTCCATCTGGCTGTGAGCCCCCGTCAGATGCAGGATGAGGTCCCCATGGTCTGCATTCCAGTCCAGTCGGTGAACCCCTTCCCCTGCCTGGGCCCTCCTGGGAGGGAGGGGGTGGAGTGAGCTCGTTCTGTCCAGGAACCTGCCTGACCTGTCTAAGTGGCATTCCAGTACTCACAATCCCTCCCGAGCTCACAGAATGCCACAGCCACTCCCCCCACCTCCCTTCCTAGCTGTCCTTACAGCCCAGATGGGGACTTTGGGGCTCAGAGAGAGGGGTTGCGATGGTTCTCAGGCTCAAGTGAGACTTGACTGTTCTAGGATGGGGCAGGGCCGTGCGGTCCAGTATCCCCTATAGGTGGCCAGGTCCCTGCCCTGGCAGACATCATGTTTTCCCAGGCCATGAGCCCAACGCCTCCCCTACCCCTTCCTGGGTCTCCCTGGCTAGGCCAGAATAAGTCTGCCTGCCCTGCCGCCTGAGACAGGTTCCTCTAGCCCTCTGGGCTGTGTGCATGCAGTGACCAGCACTGCAGCTGGGAAATGGAGTTCCAGCCACATGGGCGCATGGGAAGGAGTGGGCTGCCAGGCTGGCAAGGAAAGGGTGGGAGAAGGCCTAGCTGCCCAACCCCCGCCCTGTGTGGCCCCTGACTCACTGGGGACCTGGCCCGAGCCTCATCCCCCTCCTGGTCCCGGCCTCACTGCCTCATCTGGAGCAAGGCTCTACCCCACGCATCCTCCATTTAATGACCACTGAGCATGGTCGGGGCCAGCACAGCCCAGGGAGGGGGCGGGAGGTACAGGGAATGGTGGGGAGGGTCACAGGCCGGGCAGGGGGTTGGGGGCTCGGCTCAAGGCAGGTGTGAGGGTTCCCTGGTTCTTTCTGCGGTTCTGTCCCAGGCTGGCTTCTCGGGCTCATGAAAGAGAAGTCACTCCGTCCCTCCTCATCCCGGTGGCCTGGCTGGAGGTGGACAAAGCACACACAGGCATTGTCTTGTTTCATTCTTCCAGTAACCCTACGGGCTCTGTTTGTCAGCTGCACTTACCAGATACAGGGACAAAGGCCCAAGACAGGGAAATGGCTTGCTTGAGGGCTGGCAGTGGAGAGCAGCCGGCCTGGAATAGGGACCTGGGCCTCTGCCTCTGCTGCCCATAGGCTGGGGGGGAGCCTGGATACCTGGCATCTCAGTGTCCCCAGGGCGGGTGCCTCTGGGCCATGGTGAGAATTGCCAGCATTCTGAGGGACCCTCTAGTCTGTACACCATGGCCCTCACCTGTCACCTACCCCGGCACAGCTAGGATGGCTCCCCAGGGTGCCCTCACCCCTTTGGCCACCTAAGCCAAGAAGCCAGTCGAGTAGACCATGATGTTACTCAGTGGACAACTAGGCAAGTCACATAATTGGCCTGTGTCCCAGGCACCTGTGCCTTCCCCAAGCCCGATAAGGTCGGAGCCAGGTGGAGGGCGCCAGCCAGGTGTTGGTGCTTGCCCAGATCAAAGGGCCAGGGCTGAGAGCTGGGCTGCCTGCTTATTTGTGGCACCAGGGGCTGCTGGGCCAGGAGACAGGGAGTGGGGGTGGCTGAGGGTTAGGCCTGGGCTTGCCCCTGCTGTTTCCCTCTTGGGACCAGGCAGGAAAACTGCTGAGGATGAGCCCACTTTCAGCAGCCCCTTTGCAGATTAGATGGCTGCTGGTTTGGACCTGGCCCCTGGACCCCCTGCAGGAGCCATATCTCAGGCTCTCTGAAAGCCCACAGCAGAATTACAGCTCATAGGCTGGGCGCCTATGGCTTACGCCTATAATCCCAGCACTTTGGGAGGCTGAGGCAGGTGGATCATCTGAGGTCAGGAGTTCGAGACCAGCCTGTCCAACATAGTGAAACCCCATCTCTACTAAAAATACAAAAATTAGCCAGGTGTGGTGGTGGATGCCTGTAATCCCAGCTACTCGGGAGGCTGAGGCAGGAGAATCGCTTGAAGCCAGGAGGCGGAGATTGCAGTAAGCCCAGATTGCGCCATTGCACTCCAGCCTGGGTGACAGAGTGAGACTCTATCTCCCCAAAAAAAAAAAAAAAAAAAAAAAAAAACAAAAAAACCGCTCATAGGTTTTGCTGTTTTGGGAAATCAGGAGCCCCCATGGCCTACACCTAGAGAAGCAGCTGCCACTGAACCTACTGCCTGGCAGGCCGTGTGCTGGGCTCTGCCCAGACTCAGTTCTTACCCTCAGGTAGATTCCCTCTATCTATGGGGGCAGAAAACGTATCATCAAGCCACCACCCAGGCACAGGGGGCTGTGGGAGCCTGGGTGGACGGCAGAGAGCGTGCACCTAGCTCTGGCCGGTGGCCGCGGAGAACACTTCCCTGAGGAGGAGACGTTTGAATGGGGCTTTGAAGGATGAGTTAGAGTTTGTAGTCAGTGTGTGAGATCGAGTAGATGTGTGAAGCCCTCCTTTCCCCTCCAAGCTAGATAAAATATGCCAAGAAAACATGTTGAAATTACAAAGCTGAGCTTGACAGCTAAAGCTAGCAGGGAAATTCCCAGATGCCAGAAGCAGAGAGCTGAACTCAAAAACCGGAGTGGGAGCTAGAATTGAAGCCAAGTGATGCAGAGTGTTTAGGGACCAGATAAACGTCTTCGAAGCTTGTTACGGTATTTTCAATATAAACATTTTTATCATGAAAAATTTTAAACAGACATAAAAAGTAGTGAGAATGGCGCAACGAACTTCCATAGAACACATCACCCAGATTCATCAAGGGAACGCCCGCCTGGCTCAGTTTCCGGGCCTGGGGTTTCTTCGTTCTAACCGTGGGTGATTTTGTTTCCATCCAAGCTTCCTGATTCCAAGCTGTGTCCCCAGGCTGCTGGGTAGTTTTTCTGGTAGAGTTCCCTTTCGAGAATGGGCATTTCCCACCTGGCGCTGGCTAGTTCCAGCCCCTGCTCCGTACAGGCCTGGGGCTTCCACTTCCTTCCCCATAGAGGCCCCCTCTGTTTCCAGGGACCCTGGCAGAAGCAAATCCCAAACCATTCCTTAGGGAATTCTTCATGACCCAGAGCCTGCATGGGACACGGGACAATTTCCACTGAAGACAAACTCAAATTCAAAATTAATAGAGCAGGCCAGGCGCGGTGGCTCACACCTGTAATCCCAGCACTTTGGGAGGCTGAGGCGGGTGGATCACCCGAGGTCAGCAGTTTGAGACCAGCCTGAACCAACATGGTGAACCCCATCTCTACTAAAATACATAAATTAGCTGGGCATGGTGTGGGCGCCTGTAATCTCAGCTACTCAGGAGGCTGAGGCAGGAGAATCGCTTGAACCCAAGAGGTGGAGGTTGCAGTGAGCCAAGATCACACCACTGCACTCCAGCCTGGGTAACAAGACCAAGACTCCGTCTCAAAAAAAAAAATTAATAGAGCATACAGTTCTCCCTCATTTTTTTGAGAGGGAGTCAGCTGACCCTGAAGATGGGAAAACAGATTCGTCACAAAGGGACTTTAAAATTAGGTGTGTTTAATATTCAAAGCTCTAAAGGAAAGGATAGGACTTGTAAGACAAGAACAGAACATTATGAAAAGAGAACCGGAAAATGTTTAAAAGACTAATATTCGAAAATACCAGAAGTGAAAAATATGTATTAAAATAAAAAATGGAATAATTAGGTGAGTTAATGAGTAGACTACACCTAGTTGAAAAGAAAAGTGAATTAGAAGCTAGATCTGAGGAAATCAGCGTCAATGCAACACAGGGAAGGGTGAGGGAGAACGAAGGCTGTTTGTGGCACTGCCTGACTCGAGTGGCCTGTGGCCCATTGGCCATGGGTTGGCGTATGGGGAGAACAGAAGGAGAAGAGGCTGGACAGTGGGCAGGGTCTGAGTGTGAAAGGCTTGAAGGCCAAGATAAGGCATGTAGGTTTTGTCTTGGGGCAGTAGGGAGCCAGAGAAGGTTTTGGAACAGGGCAGTCCGTGTAAAATGTGTGTCTCGGGCCGGGCGCGGTGGCTCACGCCTGTAATCCCAGCACTTTGGGAGGCTGAGGCGGGTGGATCACGAGGTCAGGAGATCGAGACCATCCTGGCTAACATGGTGAAACCCCGTCTCTGCTAAAAATACAAAAAATTAGCCGGGTGTGGTGGCGGGTGCCTGTAATCCCGCTACTCGGGAGACTGAGGCAGGGGAATGGCATGAACCCAGGAGGCGGAGCTTGCAGTGAGCCGAGATCGCGCCACTGCACTCCAGCCTGGGCGACAGAGCGAGACTCCGTCTCAAAAACAAAACAAAAACAAACAAACAAAAAAGATGTGTGTCTCAGGATATTCATTCTGGGACCAAGTGTGGGAAGGGGCAGCAGAGGAAGCTGAAGGCTACTCAGGGCCGGGGTTTGTAGGCTCACGAGGAAGTGCCAGGATGGGGATGGGGGAACGGAGGGAGAGTGGGGACAGAGGAAGAGCCAGCTCAAACCGAAACCAGACAGTGCCTCTGTTTTGGGGGTAAGTCTCCTTCTGCCTGTTCTCCCCTCCCGTCTTTGGCCAGCCCAGCGACTCCTGCTTCAGCAGACTTGGGTTCTGAAGGCACAGCCGGGCAGCCCCTGCGGCTGTTCCCCAAAGCCCTCCTTTTCAAGGAGTGGCCCCAAAACCTCATTCACCCTGAGGCCTGAGAGCCCAACACAAGGTTTACATCCTGAGTAGGGGATCACAGAGCAGGTGTTCCCGTCCTTCCACCGGGAAGTCTGAGCGTGGTGAGCTTTCAGGCGCTGATGGGGCCATCTGTCCTGAGCATTCTCCGTCAGCTTGGCCAGCCCAGGCCGTCCCTTGGATGGCAGAGCCTGGCCCCCGCCCCACCCATGCCTGCCTGAGCACCCTCCCTGCCCACAGGATGTGGAGGATGGTAGGTCTTCTCCAAATAACAGATCAGCCATGTAAAAATAGCCGTGGCTCAGCCCAGGCCGAAGCAAGGGCTGAATGCAGGCTCCAAGGCCACAGGGCGGGGGCTCAGGGCTCCCTCAAGCTCAGACTTGCCCTTTCCTGCTCCAAAACTGCTTTCTGGGGTCATACAGGCCATGTGTGCCATGGGGATGGCTCCGCTCACCATGGACAGGGGTCCTGGGGCTGCCCACCAGGACACCGAGGGCCCGTGGGGGTTCTGAGCTCTGGGCTGCCGTGAGAGGTGGACAGCACTGGCTTTCTGACGGCCTCCTGCCAGCCTGGCGAGGAGGAGGGAGTGAGGCCCTGGCCCAAGACCCCGAGGCAGGCGGGCTGGTCTGACCCCTCCCTCCCTGCTGTCACGGCCCTGCCCGCTCGGCCCTGGCTCCCTGCCCTGCCTCTCCATTGTCCTAGACCTGTGGGCTCAGCACACCCTCCACAGGATGTCCCTGCGGGAACTGCTGGGAAAGCCGCCCCTACCAAAACCAGGGGTGGGGCTGCCAGTCTGCCCAGAAAGCTCTCCTCAAACAAACAAAGACCACGGGATTGCGGGGTGGTGGGCAGGGGAAGCTTCTAGCTTGGAGGCCCAGCCCAGGCTGGTCTTTATTCTCAGCAGAGTTGCCTGCTGGCCTCTGTGTCCCCATCGGACACAGTCCACATGGGCAAGGCTTCGCCTATCCTGTCCCTTCTGCCAGGAACATTCTCTCAGCCCCCTCCCCGTCCCTACCCTGATTGTGTTCAGGCCCCTCCATGGCCTGTGACCTCCAGGGGGCCAGGCGGGGTCCTCCCTCCTGTCTGTCCTGAGCAGAGAGAGGGCAGCAGTGATGGATCCCACCTCCCTCCTGACCCTGGACTGCCATGTCCCAAGGGAAGACACTGAGGGGCAGGCTGGTCCAGACTGTGCCTTCCTAATTTGGTCTGTCATCTCGGGCAACTTCCTCCACCTCTTGGGGCCTCAGTGACCTCAGCTGTTAGATAGGGATGGACGTGGGGAGGATCAGGTGAGCTAAGGGCACGTAGGTGCTTGGGCAAGTTCATCAGGCTGGGGCCGGTGGGTGGGGACGGGGCGTGCCAGCTTCTGCCAGGAGTCCACCTGCAGTCCTGGGGACTTCTGCCCATCTAAGTGAGGAGCCAGAAACCAGGGAGGGGTTGAAAGAGCTAAGAAGGGCCCGTGCTTCCTGCTCCACTGTGGGCAAGAGGAGAGAATGGAGCATGATGGCCGGGGTCTGGCGAAGGTCTGGGTCACGTCCCTCCAGTCCCTCGTCACCCCCCCGGGAGGGGGCTTTTTCAAGGATCCTACCATGGTGTTGGGGGGCGGGGTGGAGAGAGCGCGCTGTGGTTCTCTGCCGCCTTCTAAACACCAAACCCTGTCCTGGTCTTTAGCCCAGTCCTCCCTCCACAGCCTCATCTCTCGCTGCTTCCTCTTGAGCATCCTCAGGCCATGGCCTGACCTGTCTCCTTGCTGTCCTCAGCAGGCCCTGAACTTTCCCTGACCTTGGGAACATCAGCTGGGACCTTCCCCCTTCCCAGCATGGCAGTCTGGGGAGTGATTTAGAGCAAGGACTCTGGAGTCTGCCAAACTGGGATTTAAATTCTGGCTCAGCCGCACACTCGCTGTGTGACATCACTTCTTTTGGCCTCCATTGTCTCCTCTGTAAAATGAAGAGAACAGAATCAAAAGAGATCATCTGTGCATATGTCAAGGCTGCATGCTGGGCCTTGCCTATATATCCATAAATAATAACTGCAGTTATCATGAACACTAAGCATCATGCCTCGTGAACCATTATACAATATTGCTGATCTGAAGTTTATATTTCAGCGTATATTCTTGATGTTAAGTATTATCTTAGCGGTAAACTCCTATGCATGCTTCAGTGCCCAGCTTTGTCACCACCGCCTCCGGGAAGCCTCTCTTCATTATCCTGGCAGGATCTGGAGCTCCTTGGTGGTTCCCCAACATAGGTTGTCCTTTAAACAGAGCAACCTATGAACAAGATCTGCCCCTGGCCAGACAGGGGGAAACTTCTCTTCTGATTCCTTCTGTCCACTTGCCACCTAGCACAGACAGGCACAGGGAGAACAATTCCTCCTCCTCCCCCAACATGTGTCAGTCCTGATGCAACTGGAAATCTCCCTCCTGCCACATTCTGATCTGATCTCAGGCAGGTCCTTGGAGGCAGGCCCAGCAGGAAAAATTCTTTTTCTAAATGTGAGGAAATAATTTCTGCCTTGACTAATTTAAACAAGGGCCCAGTGTTGACCAAGGCCGGCCTGCTCTGGGCAGGGTGTGGCATTAAGCACCTTGCACGTGCTATCCAGCACCCAGACCCACCCTGGAGAGCTGCTATTTTTATCTTCATTTTACAGATGAGGATGCTGGCATGTTGGCGCTGGCTCAGGCCAGCTCATGAGAGTCAATTGTTAACATTTCAGGAATGGTGTGTGAGCTAGTCGTAAAATACAACCATTGTTAAAAACTAAATGATATCGGCTTACAATTAAATAATTAGAAACAAGGTAATAACTACTCAAAAGTCCTCACTTCCTAATTATTTTGCTGTGTTTCAGCGTTATCTGTGGTCCTATGGTGAGTGGCGTCTGTTCTATTTGTGTGGTAGAAACACTGGACAATGGCGTGTCCCCGCACATCCCTTTCCAACGCCCATCAGTGACACGACGTGGGTAGCTTGAACTCAGCCAGGGCGGAGTGTTTACACCACAGAAATGGGCAAACACGGCCGGGCACGGTGGCTCACCCCTGTAATCCCAGCACTTTGGGAGGCCGAGGCAGGAGGATCACCTGAGATCAGGTGTTTGAGACCAGCCTGGCCAACATGGCAAAACCTTGTCTCTACTAAACATTCAAAAATTAGCCGGGCGTGGTGGCAGATGCCTATAATCCCAGCTACTTGGGAGGCCGAGGCAAGAGAATCGCTTGAACCCGGGAGGCAGAGATTGCAGTGAGCTGAGACGGTGCCACTGCACTCCAGCCTGGGCGACAGAGCGAAACTCCATCTCAGAAAAAAAAGAAATGAGCAAACACGCCACATCAGGGCTCCCCTCACCCTTTATCAGAGCCAGTTAAACATATATCAGCACACCACTGAAGGTGAGACACAGAATGGCTGTGGCCTGACTGAGGTCACCGGCTGGGAAGGAGCGGAGGTGAATTTGAGCCCAGGGAGTGTGCCTCATGCCCGGATTTGTGCACCCGCATGCTGATTCTCCCCAAGGCCTCTGGAATTAACAGGTCTGCTCGTACACCCACCACCCACGCGCACTCACTGGCCTGTTCTTGCTGGCATAAAAGAGGGGCAGTCACTCCTCCAGCCAGGTTCAGGGGAGCTCTGCCTGGCCCTCTCGCCTCTCTTTCACCTCTCTCTTTTCCTCCTTCCTCCCTCCCTCTTTCTCTTCTCTCAGGTCCCATCTCGCCAGGGTCTCAGGCCCACGGAGGAGCAGCCGGGACCACGCACACATTCAGCCTGGCGGTCAGAGGCCAACTGGCTGCCATGTCTGTCACTCCCAGCCTTTGTCTGGCCATCTGCCCATCAGCTGTGGGACTGCTTTCCAGGGGGAGGGATGGGGGGCCACCTCGCTGTGTGACCTAGGGTCCACCCTACCTTGCTCTGGGCCTCTTCATCCCACCTGGGACCTCCAAGGCCCCTCCCATCACTGGCAGTGGCCTCCCTGTGGAATCTTCTAAACCTCTTGTTCTGGAAGAACAAAGCCAGGTCACGGCCTTTGTTCGACATCCCCTCATGTTTTCCTTTCTCACCCATGGACGTCACAGTCATCACAGTGGGCTCCGGGGCCCCACCCCAGCCTCTTTCCTGCTCCTCCAACATGCTAAGTAAACTCCTGCCCCAGGGCCTAGGCACTTGCTGTTCTTGCCCCAATAATTGCGTGATTTGTTTCCTTACCTCCTCCAGGTCCTGGCTGAAATACCCACTTTGACCGCTCAATTTAAAATTGTGGTGGCCGGGTGCAGTGGCTCACGCCTGTAATCCCACACTTTGGGAGGCCGCGGCAGGTAGATCACTTGAGGTCAGGAGTTTGAGACCAGGCTGGCCAACATAGAGAAACCCCGTCTCTACTAACAATACAAAAATTAGCTGGGCGTGGTGGCAGGCGCCTGTAATCCCAGCTACTCAAGAGGCTAAGGCAGGAGAATTGCTTGAACCTGGGAGGCGGAGGTTGCAGTGAGCGGAAATCGCACCACTGCACTCCAGCTGCCTGAGCAACGGAGCAAGACACTGTCTCACAAACAAATAAAACACCAGCTAACTATATCAATAAATTTCTCTCAGCCAGGCACGGTGGCTCACGCCTGTAGTCCCAGCACTTTGGGAGGCCGAGGCAGGTGGATCACCTGAGGTCAGGAGTTGGAGACCAGCCTAGCCAACACGGTGAAACCCCGTCTCTACTAAAAATACAAAAATCAGCAGAGCGTGATGGTGTGTGCCTGTAATGCCAGCTACTCGTGAGGCTGAGGCAGAGGTTGCAGTGAGCGGAGATTGCACCATTGCACTCTAGCATGGGTGATAGAGTGAGACTGTTGTCTCAAAAAATATAAAATCGTGGCATCCACTTGCTCTCACACACACCCTTCCAAGCTCCTGTTTCAGCCCCTCCCACCCTCTGTAGCACTTGCCACCATCTGACAAGCTGTGTTATTGATTTGTTTATTTCTTTATTGTCTATTTCTCCTCATTCGAATGAAAGCTTCATAGGATAGGGGTTTTTGTCTCTTTTGTTGATTGATATATCCCAAACACCTAAAACGGTTCCTGGTGCATTGTAGGTACAAAAAAATTGTTGTTGTTGAATGACAAGACGGTAGAATGGACAGATGGATGACAGTGTTTTCAGCCATTAGGAAAGGCCCTGCGGCGCGCTGGGAGTGAGGGCAGCTGTGTGGTCTAGCAGGTGCGAAATCTGGAGTTCCAGGCCCAGTTCTGCCTGATTTGCTGTGTGACCTTGCGTAGATCTCTTCCCCTCTCTGAGCTTCTTTCACAAGTAGAACAAGGGGTGCAGTGTGGTAAAGTATAAGGAACACAGGCTCTGGAGTCAGGCAGCTGGTGTCAGATCCCCACTGGAACATTTACTGCCTGTGGGGTCTTGGCCAAGTCACTCTCCCTCTGAGTCTGTCTCCGCATCTGTGAGGTGGGAGGGGGCTGGAAAGATACGTAATACATGAGATACAAAGATACATGATGAGATATGGCTGGGCGCGGTGGCTCACACGTGTAATCCCAGCACTTTGGGAGGCCAAAGTGGGTGGATCACTTGAGGCCAGGAGTTCAAGACTAGCCTGGCCAACATGGCAAAACCCCATCTCTACTAAAATACAAGAATTAGCCAAGTGTGGTGGCGCATGCCTGTAATGCCAGCTACTCAGGAGGCTGAGGCATAAGAATTGCTTGAACCCAGGAGATGGAGGTTGCAGTGAGCCGAGAGTGTGCCACGGCACTCCAGCCTGGGTGACAGAGCGAGACCCTGTCTCAAAACAATAAAAATAAAATTTTAAAAAGATATGTGAGATATGACATGGTGAGCCCCTAGCATAGTGTGTGGCATGTAGAAAGTGTTCAATAAATAGATCTTGACTCTTTTAAAAAGTACCCAAAGGGCTCACCCAAACCTGGACAAACTGGGCGAACTGGACATACATGGGAGAGGATGGCGTCATGGACCTGCCTGACCTCGTAAGGCCTTTCCCACCTTCCTGGGGTGCAGGTCGGGCCGAGGTTTCCTCTCTGGGCTGCTTCCTTGGTCCCTTTGCTCCACAGACTCTTGGCCCCAAGCCGGAGTGAAATGGGCCGGGAGGCCGGGGCGCAGGGACCTGGGCCCCCCCTCAAGCTCTCCTCTCCCTGCAGTGTTCATCTGTAGCTTCATGGTGGCTGCCCCCATCTTCGGCTACCTGGGCGACCGCTTCAACAGGAAGGTGATTCTCAGCTGCGGCATTTTCTTCTGGTCGGCCGTCACCTTCTCCAGCTCCTTCATTCCCCAGCAGGTGAGGCCCGGCTCGGCTTCTCCCCGACCCCTGTGTCCTGGTCCCTCCAGCGAGTGGCTAGTCTTATTGGCCTGTTGAAGAATCCAGCCCAGGGCTTCCAGCTCCTTTGCTTGAACCCCACTGTCTTCCCAGTGCAGAAGGACAGGTGGTCTTCGGGTATTTTTATAAACCAGCCCTGCGGCTGGGGCCTTCCCCACGCTGGCCTGACCTGAGAGCCTTCCAGCCCATGTGGCCTCCTGACTCTTTCTGAGCATCCCTCTGATTTGGGATGGATGCAAAGAACAAGTCTGGCCTAGGAGTGAGGGCCTTGAGTCCTAGCCCTGGCTCTGCCATTATCTGGCTGTGTGACCCTGGGGGAGTCACTACCCCTCTCTGGTTCTTGCTCAGTTTGTGCTTGGTCTGATGACCAGCTGACTTCTTAGATCGACATCCCAGAGAAGCAAATATCAATTCAACACAAACAAGAGTCTTCTCATTTAGCTCCCACAGGCCTGGGCTTGAATATCCCAACTTTGTTTCCTACTCAGCTTTGTGACCTGGAGGAACTTAATGTCTCTGAGCCTCAGTTTCCTCATCTTTAAAATGGGGATAATACTTCCCAACTCGAAGGTTTCCCTTGAGAAGTAGCTGAGCTGTGAAGGTCCAGACCCTGGAACACGGCGAGTGCTCAGCCAGTCATTGTTTCTGTTCCTCCTTCCAAAGATGAGACTGTTGCCTTGTGAGGTAGTGAGTTCCCCATCTCGAGGCGTATTCAAGCAGAGAGTGGCAATCACATGCCGGCTGCTATAGAGAAAGATGAAGGAAGAAGGGGAGAGCATGATCTGTCTTCAAGGAGCTTTCAGGATAGCCCTGTCCTTGGGAGCACCCAGGCTTCGGGGTAGGAAGATTTGACAGGAACTCCTGTGTTCAGAGCCTTCAAGAGGTGTAGAAAAAGTGCTGAGAGTCCTCACTAAAGAGACAACAGTCTCTTGAAATCCGTGGGGTCAGGGAGGGCTTCCTGGAGGAGGTGGCGTTTGCGCTGGGCAGGCAGGACTGTGAGATCAGGCCTTTTGGTGAAGGTAGCATGGGCAGAGGGAGCCAACCCACTGATGCAGAAATGGTGGAGTGTGTTGAAAGATTGAGGATTGGGCCAGGTGTGATGGTTCATGCCTGTAATCCCAGCACTTTGGAAGGCCAAGGCGGGTGGATCCCCTGAGGTCAGGAGTTCGAGACCAGCCTGGCCAACATGGAGAAACCCCATCTCTACTAAAAATACAAAAATTAGCCAGGCATGGTGGTGCATGCCTATAATCCCAGCTACTTGGGAGGCTGAGGCAGGAGAATCGCTTGAACCTCGAAGGCAGAGGTTGCAGTGAGCAGAGATCGCACCACTGCACTCCAGCCTGGGTGACAAGAGCAAAACTCCATCTCAAAAAAAAAAAAAGAAAAAGAAAGAAAGATTGAGGATTGCATTTTCACTGGAAAGAAAGCAGGGACTGGGTCATGGAGAACCTTGAATGCCAGGCTAGAGGGCCTGGGCTTCCTTCTGTGGCAGTGCTGAGCTCTGGAAAAGTTTGAAGAACAATGGCGGGGTCAGATTTGGGTTGATGGTGGGGACATTGGAGGGAGGGCAGAGAGAATCAGCAGGTTTGCCAAGGACATCCTTGCTTCATGGGGCAGCTTCGCAGAGGAGGGTCAGGTCAGGTAAAGCTCCAGGCCCAGGATGGCAAGCAGAGCCTGGTGGCCACAGTCAAAAATAAGGACTGGACCAGAGGCCTCTAGGGCCCCTCAGGACCTTGTCTTGCCCCTGGCCAGGCCCCTGGTCACCAACCTCTGAGGCTGCTCCTGGGACTGACCAGTAAGTCTAGGACCACCATGCCAGGTCCGGGTCCATCTCTGGGTGTGTGGAAGGAGACAGAAGATAAGCAAAGGCAGAGAGAGAAACAGGTCACCTCCAGTGAATCCATAAATGCACTGAAATCACAATTTGCATCCCATAGGGGTTTCTGGTAGACTTTGGCAATGTGATTCTGAAGTTAATTTGGCAGAGAAAATGCCCAGGAACAGCCAAGAACATTGTGAAAAAATAACAGTGAAAGGGGATTTGCCTCTCAGTTATCAAAATACAGTGATTGTAACTAAAACAGCAGAGGGATGGACTAAGATCAATGAGCCAGAGTCCTCATTTCTGTGGGGATTTAGTGTAGGATGAAAGTTGCATCTCAAATGAGTGGTTTGGGAAGAACTATCTATCCATCTGGATTGAAAGAAAAGTTTGGCCTGTGTTTCAAACCATCTTGCAGAATAAAGTCCCGATAGGGGAAAGTAAAGCAAAAAGCAAGCTCTTAAAATCTAGAACTATAAATCAACAAGAAAAAGACAAATAACTCAGTAGAAAAATGGGCACGGGATAGCTACAGACAGTTTCAGGAGAAGACACCCAAACGGCCAATACGTGTAGGAAGAGACAGGGCTCAGCTTCTCTAGTAACCAGGGAAATGCAAATTAGAACAACAATGAGATCCCATTTCACACCCGTCAGATTGGCAACAATTAAAAAGGCTGACAATACCAAGTGTGATCAAAGCTGTGGGGAATCGGGGACTCCAGCCCTGCTGGTGGGAGTGTAAATTGGTAGAGGCTCTTTGGAGAGCGAAACGGCAGGATATTGTAAAACTCTGTTTATCTCCCGTGGCCCAGCCTTCTACTTGGGGTATACACCCAAGAGAGAAACTCCAGCTTGTAGACACATGCATGTAAGAAGCACTGGAATAGCCAAAAAAAAAAAAAAAGGAAGCAATCTAAATGACCATCACTGGGTGTGCACAGATTAATGGTGTGTATGTATGACTCTTTTCTTTTTTTTTTAGACGGAGTTTCGCTCTTGCTGCCCAGGCTGGAGTGCAATGGCACAATCTGGGTTCACTGCAACCTCCGCCTCCCGGGTTCAAGCGATTCTCCTGCCTCAGCCTCCCAAGTAGCTGGGATTACAGGCACGCGCCACCACACCCAGCTAATTTTTGTATTTTTAATAGAGATGGGGTTTCACCATGTTGACAAGGCTAGTCTGGAACTCCTGACCTCAGGTGATCCTACCGCCTCAGCCTCCTAAAGTGCTGGAATTATAGGTGTGAGCCACTGTGCCGGGCCCTGTGAGACTCAACAGGAAAAGAATGAACTAGATCTTAATTAACCAGCATAAATGGGTTTCAAAAAGATAAGAATGAGGGAGCAAAAGCAAGTTACAGGATAAGATGCGTGGAGGGTTTCCTTTCATGTCCATTTTATTTTTAAATATTGTTTATTTTGAGACAGAGTTTCGCTCTTTCACCCAGGCTGGAGTGCAGTGGCACAATCTCGGCTCACTGCAACCTCTGCCACCCCCTCCTCCACCACCAGGTTCAAGCGATTCTCCTGCCTCAGCCTCCCGCGTAGCTGCGATTATAGGCGACTGCCACCATGCCCAGCTAATTTTTGTATTTTTAGTAGAGAAGGGTTTTCACCGTGTTGGCCAGGCTGGTCTCGAACTCCTGACCTCAGGTGATCCACTTGCCTTGACTTCCCAAAGTGCTGGGATTACAGATGTGAGCCCACCATGCCCAGCCTTAAATGTGTTTTTGAGACAGGGTCTCGCTCTGTCACCTAGGCTGATATGCAGTGGTGTGATCACAGCTCACTGCAGGCTTGACTTCCTGGGCTCAACTGATCCTCCTGTCTCAGTCTCCTAAGTAGCTAGGATGCATCATGATCCCGCTAATTTTTATCTTTTCTTTTTTTTTTTTGAAATGGAGTCTTGCTCTGTCACCCAGGCTGGAGTGCAGTGGCGCAATCTTGGCTCACTGCAACCTCCACCTCCCGAGTTCAAGCAACTCTCTGCCTCAGCCTCTCCAGTAGCTGGGATCACAGGCACCCGCCAACACACCCGGCTAATTTTTGTATTTTTAGTAGAGATGGGGCTTCACCATCTTGGCCAGGCTGGTCTTGAACTCCTGGCCTTGTGATCCACCCGACTCAGCCTCCCAAAGTGCTGGGATTACAGGCGTGAGCCACTGCGCCTGGCCCGATTTTTATCTTATTTTTAAATTTTTTTAGAGACGAGGTCTCACTATGTTACCCAGGCTGGTCTCGAACTCCTGGCCTCAAGCAATCCTCCTGCCTCAGCCTCCTAAAGTGCTGGGATTATAGGCACGAGCCCCCATGCCCAGCCTCATGTTTGTTCTTTAAAAGCACACAGGGGGCCGGATGTGGTGGCCCACGCCTGTAATCCCAGCACTTTGGGAGGCTGAGGCAGGCAGATCAAGAGCAGCCTGGCCAACATGGCAAAACCCCGTCTCTACAAAAATTCAAAAATTAGCTGGGTGTGGTGTCGGGTGCCTATAATCCCACCTCCTCAGGAGGCTGAGGCAGGAGAATCGCTTGAACCCGGGGGGCAGAGGTTGCAGTGAGTGAGATCGCGCCACTGCACTCCAGCCTGAGTGACAGAGGAAGACTCCATCTGAAAAAAGAAGAAAAAAAAAGAAATCAATGCAAAAGAGACAAATGACCCACCAGAAAAACAGGCCAAGGCTGTAGGCAGGTGATTCCCAGGAAGAGAAACAGAGGCGAGGAGCTAAGGGCAAATGGGGAGATGGAAAAAGAGAGACAAGCATGAAGGGGTCAGAGATGGGCCAACCCAGGCAGCACCTGCAGGCACAGCAAGCCAGGAGCGAGGTGAGCAGATGGAGGGAAGTCAGGGAGACCCGGGGGAGGGCTGGACGCGGGCGATGCTGGCCAGATGGGTGGCCAGGGTGGGGCTGGGGAAAGATGACCAGGCTGGGTTCTCAGGCCCCGGGCAGCTGGGGGACGGAGGGAGCAGGTCCACATCAAAGGGGTCATGCTACCAGCAGCTGGCAGGGCCCCACCCTTCCCCACTCAGCTGGGCTTTGCCCTTTGGTGTGTGCAGGGGGAGGGGCTCTGGGTCCCCTGGGCTTCCCTGCCAACGCCCCACTCCCCACTCCCCACTTCACACTGGGCCCTCAGTGCTGCCAGGGTTGGCCTAGCCACCCGGCTTGGGAGAGACACACAGAGTGGAGGGTGGTGGCTTGAGGCTCCCGAAGTGAAGTCAGAACCAGGGAGGGGTCTCCCAGTTGGTGGAGTAGTGGAGACATAGGCTTGTGTCCCCAGTGCCTATGAGGACAGAGGGGGCCTACCTGGGCCATACCACTCTCAAGCTGGGATAGTCCCGTCCCATACCAGCACTGGGCCGGCCAGGCCCCGTCAGACCCACTATACAGAGGGGCAAACTGAGGCCCGGAGTGGCTGGGGGAGGTGGTCTTTACGGAGGTGCAGCCCACCAGCACCCTCACCCTTCTCTCCCCTGGCTCCTGGGCCCTGCAGGGGGAGGGAGCAAAGTGGGAACAAGGGATGACAGGCAGACGGTGGGTAGTCGGTCCCCCAGCATCCTCCACCCCTCCTCACAGTACTTCTGGCTGCTGGTCCTGTCCCGGGGGCTGGTGGGCATCGGGGAGGCCAGCTACTCCACCATCGCCCCCACTATCATTGGCGACCTCTTCACCAAGAACACGCGTACGCTCATGCTGTCCGTCTTCTACTTCGCCATCCCACTGGGCAGGTGAGAGCCGGAGATGCCAGGGTCTGGGTGAGGATCTGGGCAAGGTTCCCTTGGACTTCTGAGTTCTCCCACTCCCTGGGGTTCTAGCCCAGGCAGGCGTCCTCAGAGAGCTAAACATGTGGGCGGTCAGCCTTTGAGAATCTCCTGGACCTGCTCCCTGGCCAGCTGGCTGGGTGGGGAGGGTGGGCAGCCTGCCTTGCAGACCAGCGGGCACTCCCTGTCCCCAGCCCCTGTCTCTGCTCAGCCTGACGTGTGTCTCTTCTCTGCAGTGGCCTGGGCTACATTACTGGCTCCAGCGTGAAGCAGGCAGCCGGAGACTGGCACTGGGCATTGCGGGTAAGCCCTACGTCCCTTCCCATGAGGACACCCTCCGGTCCAGACCTCGCCCCAGGGTTGCCCAGAGATGTAATCCAGGCTAGGACCTAGGCCTCCAGGATTCCTCCCCTGGCTGCGTGGACTCTGAAATCCCTGCCCTTCCAGATTAGTCCAGATTGAGGTATCAGAGCGCTCAGATGTCCCGATTGAGGTGTCAGAGCCAGACACAGCCCCGCCGCCCTCGGGGCCCCCAGGCTGAGGGTTGGAATCTCCCACCCGGGAGTCCCAGGTTGAGAGAACCAAGGATTCTCCCACCACGTCAGGAAATTCCAGGTCCATGGCGGTGCTTCCTGCCTCCAGCCCTGGCGCTGTGCTAGGGTAAGGCTGGGACAAGACCTCTGTGTGGGGGCCCCAGAGTCTGGAGCCACTTCCGGTCTCGCTGGGTTTGGGGCAAGTTACCAAGGCCCCAGGACAGCGCAATCGGAGGAAACAGAGATCCCTCGTCTCTCGGAGGAGCGGAAGCTTAAGACAAAGTGTTTTTTCCTAAAAGCAGGAAGGAAGCGGCCTCCGTGGAATTTCTTAGTGGGGTGGGGGGATGGGGAGGCGAGAGGGAGGTGGCAGGCAGAGGAACTCCCCAACCCAGGGGCTCCCAGTCCCGGGGGCATGGGGGAGAGTGTTCTGCGGGGCTGGTGAGATGGAATCCAGGCTGCCAGGGTGTTACCCTCCCACCCGGAGAGAAGCCTGGGGCCTTGGAGGTTCTGTTCTGGAAAATGGGCTGGAAACGGGGAAGATCCAAAAGGGCTCGGGAGCCTCTGTGGGGCCTGCATCGGGCCCCCACCAAATGCCAGCCCACTTGATCTGTCAGTCCAGCGCTTCATACCCAAACAGCACCTTCCCAGGGCCCTGCGGCTGAGGAACCTACGTGGGGAACCTGCTCCAGGAATTTTCTCCTCCCTCAAAGTCATCATCCCATCTGGCTATCTACTTATTTTCCATCCGTCTGTCCATCCATCCACCATCCGTCCGTCTATCTATCCGTTCATCCATCTGTCCATCCGTCTGTCCATCTGTCCATCTATCCGTCCATCCCTCCATCTATCTCTGTCCATCTCTCCATCAACCTCTTTAGCCATCTCTTCTCTATCTATCCACCCACTGCTCCACTCACCCACCCCTCCTTCTTCCTTCAGTCTGTCTGGCTTCCCTGCACCTTCCCACCTCTGGTCCTGCCCCTGGTCTGGACAGGCCATCTCAAGCCTCCAGTCTCTTGACCGACCTCAGCCCCAGCTTTTCTCAGCAGCCCAATTAGGAAGGCTGGGCAGATACCTGCTCAGAGGAGAAGCCTATGGCCCAGAGAAGGCATGGGCTTGCCTGAGTCCCTCCTTCTGCAGCAGGGACGAGGCTCACTGGGCCCTGGTGTCCTAACTTCCTGCTCTCTGGCAGGTGTCCCCTGTCCTGGGCATGATCACAGGAACACTCATCCTCATTCTGGTCCCAGCCACTAAAAGGGGTCATGCCGACCAGCTCGGGGACCAGCTCAAGGCCCGGACCTCATGGCTCCGAGATATGAAGGCCCTGATTCGAAAGTGAGTACCGCGGGAAGGGGTCTGGTGGGAAGAGAGAGGGGTGCTGAGATGAGAGGGCCTGTCCCTGCAGGGCAGCCCACTAGCACCCTCAGCCAGACACCCCACCTCTGCTGTCTCAGTGCTGGGAGGGACATTTTGGCCCCAGAATCGATTATTCCTGCAGCCTGAACCCTCACCCCTGGAGCCTGTAAGACGAGGCATTTGGGGGCCTCCTGTTCCCCCAGTGCATGGGGCTGCCTAGGGGGGTGAAGGAGGTCCCTGAGCTCAGTGTCACTGCCTGGCCTCTCCCCAGCCGCAGCTACGTCTTCTCCTCCCTGGCCACGTCGGCTGTCTCCTTCGCCACGGGGGCCCTGGGCATGTGGATCCCGCTCTACCTGCACCGCGCCCAAGTTGTGCAGAAGACAGCAGAGACGTGCAACAGCCCGCCCTGTGGGGCCAAGGACAGGTGGGGCCCCGCGGGGTGGGCCCAGGGCTGGTGAGGGACCTCGGACAGGAGAGCCCCTCAGCCTTAGCCCTGAGCCGCCTCAACTCGTGCGCCACCATCCTCTGTCCCCACAGCCTCATCTTTGGGGCCATCACCTGCTTTACGGGATTTCTGGGCGTGGTCACGGGGGCAGGAGCCACGCGCTGGTGCCGCCTGAAGACCCAGCGGGCCGACCCACTGGTGTGTGCCGTGGGCATGCTGGGCTCTGCCATCTTCATCTGCCTGATCTTCGTGGCTGCCAAGAGCAGCATCGTAGGAGCCTATGTGAGTGCAGCGGGGGTCAAGGGTGCTGGGGGAGCTGGGCCTGGGCCGCGGGAGGGTCTGGAACAGGACATTCGGTCTGACTTACTGGATGTTCCCTTCCCTCGGGGAGGCTCCTATTCTCTGGCTGCCCCTGCTCATCCCCAGCCTGGCCACACACAGCCTGTCCAGGGCCTCTGGGTGCCTCAGGGCCGTGGGCATGGCTTGAAGTCTCTGGATAGCCCATGAATGGATGTGGGCCCGGGAGGGGTGTGAGGTTTTGTGGGCTCCCTGCCAGCAGCCAGTGTGTAGGGAACAGAGACTGTGGTTGCTGCGGATGGAGGGACCGCTGATGGTGGCTTTGCCTTCTCCCCGGCAGATCTGTATCTTCGTCGGGGAGACGCTGCTGTTTTCTAACTGGGCCATCACTGCAGACATCCTCATGGTGAGCCAGGCAGGCCGAGGTCACCTTGTGCTGCTGACCCAGGCCTCTTGACCTCACAGGGGTGCCTGGGGAGGGCGGGTGAAGGGGCGGGAGAGCTGGTAGGAAGGCAGGCCTGCCAGGAACGTGAACCCAGAGGCAGGGAGGGGATCAGAGAGTTTGGGGTCTGCCTCTGGCCAGGGCTGGAAAACAGGGTTGGGCAGGCAGACAGAGCACCATGTGGAGACTGAGGGGGAGGGGGCATCTCGAGGCTCAGGTTAGTGGCTGGGAGGCTGGCGGTGCCAGGCTGGCACTGAGGTGGCGCTGCCTGCCCGCCCTCCTCCCCCCGCTGGGTCTGAGCATCCATAGGCTCTGCCCTCTCTACTCAGCCTGGCTCCCAGGCGTGCCTGCGGCTGGGGCTGGGCGGACAGAGGCTGTCTTCACAGGGCCAACAATGGGCTCTAGCCCAGCCAGCTGGGGACAAAGGGCTGTCTTGAGCGGCCAGCAGGGGCTTGTGTCCCTGGGTGGGGATGGGAGCACCCTGGGAGGAGCCAGGAGTGGAGCTAGGAGTTCATGGCCCTCTGGGCGTGGCAGGGGTGAGTGTGACACTTGGTCCTGTGCCCAAGGGTCAGCCTGGCCAGGGTCAGGAGGGGACAGGAGAGAGTGTCTGGGAGGTGTCAGGGCAGGCTCTGGGGCAGAGAGGAAGGACTCGGGTGGATTCTCAGGGTGCCCGGGTTTGGGTGCCCCAGCATGGGACAGCCCGGGAGATGAGTGTGCCAGGCACTGCGGCCCCTGCACTTCGGGAAGCCTGCCTTACCCCACCCTGAGCCTCCGGGCGTATCCGCTTCCCCCTGGGGTGGCTCTGTGTCCTCCCGAGTCCATGGGCTGCGGTGGTGGTGGGGAGGCCTGGCGCAGTTCAGAGCCTCAGCACGGAGCCAGGCGGTGGCAGGGGTGCGCCAGGGTCACTGCACAGGCCCAGAGTGAAGGGAGGAGTCCGTGCAGATTAAGTGCTCTTGGTGCTGGGCAGGACCCCCTCTCCTGCCTCCACCCCCAGGGAGCGCCTGACAGCTGCCGGCAGGGTCAGGGTCCCGGGGAAATCGCGTCCCGGTTTATTAAGTGTAACAGTTTATTCCTGCTGGAAACAGGGCCACTCGTTTCATCAGATTCAGGCCCTTTTCCACCCGCCCCCCACCTCTCCCGCAACGGGGTGCCCCGTGGGTGCTGGTTGCTTGCACACAATGCCCACTAAGGCTGGCACTCCAAAGAGGCGAGGCAGCTGGAGCTCGGGGAACAGGGGCTGCCTGGGCACCCACAGAGCTGGCTGTGCCTGTCCCGCCCCCACCCCAGCCCCTCCTGTCTGACTCTGGCCTGCCCAGCTTTGAAGCCAACCTCCTGTAGGTTGGGGCCTGCTTGGTCTGATGGGGGTCTGGGGCCCAGCAGTGCCGGCATTTGGTGCTGAGGGTGCCCGCGGGTGCGAGCGGAGGCTCTTGCAGGCAGGGGCCTGCCTCACCAGCTCCTGTCCCAGGCCAGTCGAGGCCTGGCTTGGTCCTCAGGGAGGGGAACCAAGATGGGTCTTTAGCTTGATGGGAGGTGAGGACAAATGGCTGTGGCGGGGGTTCAGGTTCCCTCGGGAACATGTGCCTCTCTAGACCTCAGTGTCCCCGTGACCCAGGTCCAAGGGCAGAAGCCAAGGCACCCTGGTCTCAGGAATGGAGCAGGAGCCGCGCTGGAGAGGCAGCAGCATGGCCGTTCCTGATGGCTCGGGTACTCCGAGGCTCGGAGGGCTCTGGGCTAATGGCCTCTAGTGACTGGCGCCTGGGCAACCCCCAAAGTATCATTCCTTAACTGCATGTAGCTGGGAGGGAGGTGAAGATTCCAATTTCAGAGGGGTGTGCTGGGGGCACAGCAGGTTTGAGGCCAATGACGCTTTCAGTATGGGGCAGGTCGCAGTGGTCTGGGTTGGAGGTGTGGAAGCCCCTGGGGTGAGGGTGACTGCAGCTGTGTGTGGGTGGGAGGGGCTCAGGGAGGAGAAGGGTGACTGGCAGGAGAGAAGCAGCCAGGCTGGTGGGGTGGGCAGTAGAGGGGACTGTGGGGAGGAGGGCAGGGCCCAGGGGAGAGAGGTGTCAAGACGTAGGGCAGGAGTGAGTCTGAGGGTGTGGGGGCTTCAGAAGTGCCACGGCCCGGGGCCAGGGCCAAGCGCGTGAGCCTTTCTCCTCTGGCCGCTGACCTGCCCGCCTGTTCCGCAGTACGTGGTCATCCCCACGCGGCGCGCCACTGCCGTGGCCTTGCAGAGCTTCACCTCCCACCTGCTGGGGGACGCCGGGAGCCCCTACCTCATTGGCTTTGTGAGTAGCCCCGGGGTGGGGCTGGCCAGGGCAGGCTGGGGGACTGCAGGAGGGCTCTGCCCTGACATCCACCCCCAAATCCTCGCAGATCTCAGACCTGATCCGCCAGAGCACTAAGGACTCCCCGCTCTGGGAGTTCCTGAGCCTGGGCTACGCGCTCATGCTCTGCCCTTTCGTCGTGGTCCTGGGCGGCATGTTCTTCCTCGCCACTGCGCTCTTCTTCGTCAGCGACCGCGCCAGGGCTGAGCAGCAGTGAGTGGGGGGGAGGGGAGGCCCTGCTGCACCGCCGGGAAGCAGGGACCGTGATAGCCACCGTGAGCCCTGCCCTGGGGTGGGGCGGGGAGGGTACAGACCTCCCATGCACTCAGTGCACCCACTGGTTGCTGGGGTCCAGCCCTGAGGCCCAGTGCCAGGGTCAGCCTGGAGCTGTGGGAGGCCACGGGGGTGTCTGGTGGATCCAGACTTGGGTTTGTCTCTGGACTTAGTGGTTTTCAAAGCTGGGGCCCCTCCCCTTCCTCTTACTTTCTGACTTCTTTCTCCTTTCCTCTTTACTCCTCTCTCTCTCCTCTCCCCACCCCTGGGCTCTCCCATCTCCCCCTGGGGCTGACGAGGTCCCTGCCCAGCACCTCCGGTCAGCTGGCCCCCACGACACGATGTGCCAGAGCAGTGCCCGGGCCCGGCCCCCGCTGATGCACCACCCTGACCCCCGCCCGTCTCTCCCCCAGGGTGAACCAGCTGGCGATGCCGCCCGCATCTGTGAAAGTCTGAGGTGGTGAGTGCAGGCCGGGAGGCACGTGGGGGCTCCCTAAGGAAAGGGGAAGGCCAGGGTTAGGCAACAGGGAGCACTTTTCCTCCAGAGTCACCTCCTACCCCAGCACATCCCACCAACTCTGGGCTTTGTCTCTGAAGATGTTGCCAGAATTTACTGATGGAGCCATGGGTGGGACAGCAGGCTGCTCCTTCCAGTAAATTAGCTCCCCTTTCCTTCCTTTCAAGGGCTGGGTGGGGCCTCGCATAGATCAGGGCCAGGACTGGCCAGGAACTCCTCACTCTGTCCGGACTTCTGTTCTCCCAAATCCTCCTGGATGTACCAGGGCCTGACTCCTTGGCCCTTCCCTCTGGGAGTTATAGCTTCCCAGCAGCACGAGACCCAGGGTCACAGCTGCAGGTCCAGGAGAAGGCTTGCGTCTCCAAACAGCAAGAAAAGGGAAGGAGGGAGGGCAGCCTTGGCACAGGCCCCACTAAGCCCCACTGCTGACCTGACACCCCTTTCCCCAGGTGCCATTGGGACAATGAAGAACCCACACTCCCACCTCGTCTGGGAGGTGTCCTACAGCGTCCGGGACCGGCTGGGCTGCCCCAAAGCTTTCTGTGTGATCCACGGCTAGGCACCCACCCTCTCTGGCCCAGGCCTGCTGAGTGGCCCTGGCATCAAGAAGAGGCTGTGTCCTCAGTTACCCTGGAAGGATGTGTGTGTTGGAGCCACACGGTTGGACAGGTTCCCAGCCCTAGGTTTGGGCCGCAGGGCCCCTGGGGCCAAGGAAGAAGACAGCCCCAAGTGGGTGTCCGGGGAGAGCCTGGCCTGCCACCAGCTTATGTGATCTTGGGCAAGTCCCTGCCCTCCCTGGAACGAAGGGCCAGGGGGCTGGACTTTCCCACACAACTTGCTGGGCAAAGCACGATCTGCAGCTTTGAAGACTCAACAGACCCTGGACCATACGGAGAGCAGGTGGCCCAGGCCTCAGGGCGGCAGTCCCGGCTTTGAGGCTCACGCGAGGGCCTGGTATGCAGGGACCACTGCTCAGCTGGGCCTCGGACCTTGGGGATATTGGACGCAACCTGGCAAATGAAGCTGGGCGCCCAAGTCTCTGGGTACTCCCTGGAGGACACTGTCTCACTGTCTCGGGTTGGCTCCCAGCCTGGAGGTCCCAGATGGGGACTGTTCTGACAAGCTGGCATCACCAGGGGTGAAGGCCCTGGCTGCAGCTGTACACCACCTGTGCCCCCAGGCTCAAGGTCTCTGGCAGGTGCACACCAGCCCAACTCTGCAGGGCTTCTCTCCCTGCCACCACCCCCCAAGCCAGGACCCCACTCCTTCCCCGAGGCTGAGCTGAGCCTTTTCCAGGGGCAGGGCCCAGGAGACCATTCCCAGAATCCATGGGGCAGTAGCCAGGGCTCCGGCTGCTGGAGGAAGCAGCTATCCACAAAGCTTCCTGCCCCAGAGCTGAGGCTGAGGCCCCGGGAGAGGCGGCCCCTACCCAAACACTGGCTGCTGGCATTCCACCAAGTGACCCCAGGGGGGGGCCAGGCCTTCGATCACCCACCTCCCATCCATGCACACACCAGGATGCAGCTGCCAACTTCACACCAGCCCCAACCCGCTTTGGGGGAGCTTAGCCCCCTGCGTCACCCACTCCCTGCACTTCTGCTGCAATCAAGGTGGTTCTGGTGCGGGGGTGGGGTGGGGGGTGAGGCCTTGTGGCCAATGGGGGACCCCCCAAGAGCCAGCTTGGACAATGCTCTTCTTGCCCCTTAGTTACTGGCTGGCTGTGGCTTCAGTGGTGTGTAAGCAGGTGGAATACTCACCCACCAAGCTCTGGGGTACCCCGAGGGCCTGACAAGAGGATGGGGTGGGGGTGGCATCCTCCAAAGACCAGCCTCCACCCCCACTCCAGCCTCAGCGGGGCCCCAGCGATGTTTTCTTGTTGTACAAGAACCAGGTCCGAGTGTTGCCTCCTCTTCCTTCCGGAAGCCAAACTGCTCCTTTATTTTTTAGAGCTGCTGATTGTGAATCTCAGAGTCTTAAGAGAGAAGCCAAATATATTCCTCTTGTAAATGAAGAAATAAACCTATTTAAATCACCCCCTGGTGGCTCCCTCACAGCAAAAAAGCCTGGGGGCAAAGAGGTGGCAGGCACGAGAGATGGTCACACCTGCCTGCAGCCAGCACATCAACCTGCACCAACCCAGGCAAACACCAGAGCCCTGGACATGGCCCTGGAGCCAGGGTCCCAGCCCAGAACCGGGGGTGGGGAGGTCTCTGCACCCTGGGACCCCTGCAGGAATGGCTCAGGCTGTGCTTGCCAGAGCAGGATGCCCGGGCAGGCGGCAACAGCCACCCTCCCCAGTGGCAGCGCCTTAGAAACAGCTTGCGTATTAAAATCATGGTTTAAAAAAAAAAAAAAAAAATAGGCGTCTCAGGCAGATGGAGGCAGGGGCTGAGGGGGGCCCGTACCTGTGCTCAGGGCTTCCCTGCCTTCCTCACCTGTGCTTTCTTCTTGGCCCCACTCTGAAGCAGGCTGGGACTCCTGATGACCAAAGACAGCCTTGCCTTTTTCCGTGCCAGCGCGGACAGTGGTGATTTGCCCAAGACCCCCTTTTTGGGAAGAGCCTTCTGATGCTGCTTTTGGCCTGCAGGTTCCGTGGGGGACCCGGGAGCTCCATTCACCTGGGACGGCTTCTGGTTTTTCTTCTGCAGTTTTGGGGATTTGGCAGGGGTGCTGGGGCTCCGGGTGGGGGCGCCAGGGGCTGGACTCTTGGTGGTTGGCGTCCCGTTTGCCTGGGCTGGGACCTTAGCCTTTGTCCTGTTCCTCTTCTTCCTGCCCATGCTGGGGGGCTGGCTCCCGCCGGTGGCTGCAGGTGTGCCATCCTCCGCTGGCGTGCCATCCTCTGACTTGCGTTTCTTGCGCTTCTTCGTCTCTGGCAAGAATCCCTTTTTCTTCCGCTTCTTACTGATGGGGCTCTGGGTGGCACTGGGGATCTCCTTGGCATCCTTCTTCTCCAACTTGGGGCGCCTGAAGGGAAGTGAGCAAGGTTAGAAGGTGCCCATCGAGGGCAGCAGCCACCGCCACCGCGACTGCTACCTCCACCTGGATTCTGAGGGTCCTCTGAGGCCCCTAGGTTCTGTGAGGCCCCTATGAGGGTCCCGTGAGGGTCCTATGAGGGTCCTGCGAGGCCCCTGGGTCCTGCGAGGGTCCTGCGAGGCTCCTGCGAGGGTCCTGTGAGGGTCCTACAGCTCCCACATCTGAGAATGCGCTTGAGTGCATGTGTGTGCAGCAGCATGCGTGTGCAGTGTGCGTGTGCAGCAGCGTGTGTGCAGCGTGTGTGTGTGTGCAGCAGCGTGAGGGTGTTCCCAGCCCCTACCCAAGGTGTGTGTCCCCCTCCCAGAACCTACTGGACTCCCAGGGTTTTCATGGCCTGCCAGTAGAGGTCGTGCAGGCGGCTGGAGCCGGTGGAGTGTGCCCCCTGCTGTAGGCTCTGCTGTTGCCCCTGCAGCACACCCAGGAGCACCGTCAGGTCCAAGGTCAGCTTCTGCAGAGGGTGGGAAGGCAGAGCTGTGGGGCCACAGAGGGCGGGGCCTCTCGCGGGCTCCCAGTCTTCCCACCTCTGCCCTGTTGCTGCCTCACCAGTGACCCCTGCCCCTTCCTGGGCCTCAGCCTCTCCTTCTGCCTGTTAAGTCATCCGTGTCTCTTACCGAGGGAGGAAACACGCGCCCCAGGTGTTGGTTCTCCTCCTTCCCATAGCCAAAGGCCTGGTCTCAGAGTCTCGGTGTCCTCCCCTCCAGCAGTGGCCCGGGCCCACCCACCTCCAAGAGGGCCACTCCCCAGCACTCCATCACCGCGGGGCTGCCAAAGCGCTTCCCCACCCAACCCTGCCACCTTCCTGCACATCCTGAATGGGTTATTGTTGGAATCCGCCAGCTTCCGGGAGCCCTGCTCTCCTGGCTTCCTCACTATCAGCCAGTTTTGTAAGGCCCCGTCCCGGGCCCCGCCTCTGCCTGCCAGCACCCCCTTGGCAAGCTCTCCCTCCACAAGGGCTGACTAGCACCTATGCTGAAGATTCCCAAACCCCGCCCTCTGGGCCAGACCGGGGGACCCAGATGGCCACCTCCAGCTGCCTCCCAGCCCTGCCCTGATGGCTGCCCACACTCCTGTACCAGGCCTGGAAACCTGGCTGCTCACCCTGAATCTTCTCCAACCCTTCCACAGTCTCCAGCCCTGCCAGCCCCTTCTCGGCTTTCTCACGGGATGTGGCAGTGCCACCCCACCCCCTCTCACCCCGCCCTGCAGGAGGAGGACAGGGTGGCACAGTCCCTTCCCAAGTCACTCACCCATCCATGGTTTGGTAACTGCCCAAATGGCAGCCCAGAGCCCTGGCCCAGGCACTGAGAAGTTTCCCCACATGACCCCCATCCCTGCAGTCCAGCCCGGGCATGGCACTGCTGGCCGGGAGGCCCCAAGGCCCCCAAGAGGAACCCGAACACGACCGCGGACTGGGCCCCCGCCTCACCTCATGTTTGCAGGTCCTGAAGAGAACGTTGAGCAGCTCCAGGGAGGACAGTGCCTGCTGATGCTGCGCCTTGGTCTGCGCCTCCCCCAGCACGCGCAAGTTCTAGGGAAGGGTGGCCAGGCTGAGGCACTCCGGAGAGCTGCTCAAAGCCTTTCTGTTTCCCAGCCGGAAGTAAAGCCCAGAGGCAGGGACCGTCTCCTGGGACAACCCCAGTTCTCCCGACTCTGGACTCAGGCTCCAATCCTCACTTCTTTCCCAGAGATCGGTCTCCCGGAGAACTGATTCTGAGGGGGTGGGGAAAGGGCGCCCCCCGGCTGTTACCTCGGTGACCTTTGCTAGGACCTGGCCCATCAGCTGCTTCCACTCGGGGTCCTCAAAGCACGACCTCACCTCCCGCATGGACAGGGTCTTCTGGAGCAGCAGGCAGGCCTGTGGGTGGGCAAAGGTGGGTGGCAGGAGCCTTGGCACGTTGGGTGCTCACGGCTCAGGGATGCATGAGGGCTCGGGGGCCCGCTGGGCACTGCTGTGGGCAGCGTGTGAGGCTGCCTGCTGCTCTGGGCTCTGTGACTACCTGCTCCTGTGCCTTTGTGTGCAGGTGGGGACACCAAGGCCTCCCAGCTGGATAGAGGTGGGACCTCAGGTTGGGACAATTCCTGCCCATTATTGGCTTAGTGCCATCTTCCTCCAGCCTGCCCCCAACAGCCCTGGCACCAGAGCAGACACTACCAGGGGCATCCTGTGTGTGGCCAGATGGGCAGCAGTGGCTGCGGGAGTGAGGCTGGCCCTGCCCCCTCAGCTCCTGTGTGTTCACTGTGTGGCAGGGGCCAGGGCACGGCCACCCCCTTCAGAGACCATGTACCCACAGCCAAGCCAGTGGGGCAGGGACAGCTGTGCCCGTGCTCACCAGGACAGCGCTCTGGGGCCTCACAATATCCAGTCAGAAGAGGGTTAAGCGGGTTAATTCAGACAGGCCCTGGGCTGGGAGCTGGGAAGTCTCTCACCTGATGACGGGGCCGCACCGGGCCCGTGATATGCTGGACCAGGATGGGGAGCAGGCTCTGACAGAGCACCTGGTGGGGAGTGACAAGGGCTGTGAGGTGCAGGCTGGGCTGAGCAGGGACCATGAGGAAGCAGGGCAGGCCCCAACACTCACCGGGTGCCGGGAGAAGAGGCTGAGGAACATGGGAACTGTGAGGGGGCTGTTGCGCTTGGTCAGGAAGGAGCTCAGTGCTGTCGAGTACACCCGGGTCACCAGGTTCAAGTCCAAGCAGCTGGCAGCCTAGGCCAGGGGAGAGCGAGCTGGGTGAGGCCAGGAGAGGGGTCCCTGGGATGGGAGCAGAGCCTGGCCTACCTTCATCAGAAGGCTGAGGGTTGGGCCCTGGGGAAGTCCCGGCCTCCACTCCCTGGCTGTGAAATGCCTGGGGCTGCTCCTGGGCCAGGCCCTGCTCACCTGCGGGCCCGTGGGCATGTGGCTGGGGTCAGTGCCAGCTTTCTGCTTCTCCTGTGTCTCATGCACGCAGCCCTCAGCAGTGTTGCCCTTCAAGACCCGGAGCAGGTAGAGAGAGGCGTTGAAGTGGTAGAGGGCGGTGGGGGAGTCGGGCTGGCGGCCAGCCTGCTGCACCAACCGCTCCACCTGGGCGTGCAGGGCCCCTGCGCGCTCACCCAAGTCGTGGCAGTAGCGCCGGGCACGGCACAGGTGGTGCCTGTGGGTGGTGAGGACGAGAGCTGGTCAGAACATTCTCGGTCCACCCTGCTCCGCCAAGCAGAGCCAACCCAAGTCCCACTTTATAAGTGGGGAAACAGACCTAGAAGACGACAGAGGCGACCCAGGCCACAGAGGAGGGCCCAGGGCCGCCTGCAGGCTGCCTGGAAGCTGTGTGGGCTCAGAGTGCTGGGGTGACAGGGGCGCTCCAGGGGAGAACAGAACAGCTCCCTGAGTGGAGGCTGCACCAAGGGCCAACTGCCTGCCTGGGGCACCCCTCCTGTCTACACTTGTCTCTCATGGGGCAGTGGCCTTCAGGCCTTTTGTAAAGCGAGACAAGGGTTCATGTGCTTAGAACCCTCTGTGGCCCTGCAGGGCCGGGGATATAATGGGGGCAAGAGGCAGGATGCTCAACAAACGACACTGTCCACGCACGCTGGCAGAACTATCTGAGAAGGCGTGGCCCGGGCGGGCCTGGGTTTGTGAAGAATGCACTGCCAGTCACACTCCCCACCCCTCCTGACTATCCACGCAGCGCCCCAGCTCCCAGGCCTTCACCTCCCCAGCACCTGAGCTCTGAAGGCAGGTCTACCAGGTGCCTGCCTGTCTCTCCCACGCCTGCCACCGCCTCCCTCCTGGGCCCTCTGCCTCCAGCACAGCCCCTCCCAAACCCTTCTCCACGCTGCCAGCCGTTTCTGAAAAGGCAAACCAGACTCAGACCCTTCCCCACGCCACTGCTCTTGCTGATAATGCCTCTGTGGCCTCCAGCACCGCTAGGGTCAGGGCCTGCGAGGGTGCGGGGGTCTGTGGCCTCGCTGCTTGCCTGACCTTCCAGCTGCGTGTCTGACCAGCTCCCGTCAGGATGCTCTTCCTCCCTTTCTGCCCTGCCCAAGGCCTCCCAGCCTGACAAACTCCCATGCACACTACACCTCCGAGGACTGGGTTGGGTGTCCCCTGCCACAGGTGCACCCACTGTCCCCCTCCACCCCAGCACAGCCCCACTTGAGACTGTCAAGGGCAGGGATGGACCCCAGCTCCAGGGCACTGTTGGCACAGCCCCACTTGAGACTGTCAAGGGCAGGGATGGACCCCAGCTCCAGGGCACTGTTGGCACTGTGTCGGGAGAACGCGGGGATGAAGCAAGGACTGTGGGAATCACTAAGTGACGTGTGCCTCTAGGGCTGAGCAGTGAGCCTGCGAGCTAGGGGCCCAGGCTGGAAGCTTGGCTCTCTCCTTCCTGTGCAGACAGCAAGCCTAGAGCTCTGGCTCTCCTGCGCCTGGGGGCTGCCGGCCACACCTGCCCGCCCTGCACCCCCGTGCTCACGTGAAGATGCGCGCCGTCTTGTGCAGAAGGTCCTGCTCCTGTTTGGAGCTGCTGCTGCGCAGGCTGCGCCGGATGATGCTCAGCAGCGGCTCCAGCAGCTCCAGGACCAGGGCATTCTCGGGCTGCTTGGTCACTAGCACCTCCACCAGGTCCAGCACCTGCAGCCAGGAGGGCAGGTCAGCAACACGGGGGTGGGCGCACAGGGAGGCGGGGGTGGGCGCACAGGGAGGCGGGGGTGGGTGCGGCCCGCCCCCAGGCTCACCCGGATCTGGAAGTCGCGCCGCAGAGCCTTCTCCTTCTGCAGCTTGTTCTTCTCGTCTCGCCGGGCCTGGATACGCAGCTTCTGCTCGGCAAAGAGGCTGGCGAGGCTCTGGTCCAGGGCCATCATGGCCTCATCCCCCAGCTCCTCCTCGTTCTCACTGTCCTCTCCACCCTGAGGGACAGAGGCCCAGCGGTCAGCCAGGCCTCGGGCAGGCACACAACATGGGGACACCCGAGCCCTCCCCGGCCGCCCCCCCCTCCACCTCCCCCACTCACCAGCGCCTTCCCAGCCTGCAGCACGGTCATCAGCTGTTCCCGGAAGCCCTGATCCACGTCCCCGTCGCGCTCCTCCTCCTCGCTCTCCTCCCCCTCGCTCTCCTCTTCACTCTCTGAGCTTCTGTTGTCCTCACCTTCCTCGCTCTTGTCCTGTGTGGTAGAGGCAGGCGCGTCACACACCTCCCCGATCGTCCCACTCCCCACCGCCCCCGCCCGGCCCATGCTGGCAACACCTCTGCACCCTTCAGCCGCCGCTCATCAGAATCGTCCGTCACCACCACACGGTCATTCTCATCCTCACTGGTCTCGGGGTTCAGCACCTGGGGAGGGGTGCCAGCCACTGACCCATTTGCAGCCCCCGCCCTCCTCTCCAGGCCCCACTCAGCCTTGACCAAAGACCTCCATTTCCCAGAAGAAAACGGAGCCTAGGAGAGGCGGCCAGGCCAGGCCAAGGCCTCGTTGAGACCCCTCCCACCGGCCGCAGGCTCCCGGCAGGGAGGCTGGAGGCTGAAGCGGCACCCCTGGTGCAGCTCGCTGCTCAGTGAGCCCCAGCCCACATTCCACTCCCAAAGGTCCCAACTCACATCCAGAATTAGCTGCAGGGCACGCGGGGTCAGGTGGGAGCAGATGTGGCCAAACACGCTCCGGGCCACCTGGCGCATGAGGTGGCTGGGCTGGGCCAACAGGGCCAGCAAGATCTCCACCAGCACCTCTACCCACGGGGGTTCCTGGGGGTCTGCAAGAGGGAGGGGTTGAGCCCGGATAGGGGACCGCTGGCCCCACCCCACCACTCTAGTCCCTCTCGTGACCAAGGACCCACCGATGGTCTTGGTGCGGCTCCGGCGGGGCTTCTCTCCCAGACTTTTCCTGATGCAGGTCTGGATGTCACCCAGCAGGTCACAGCTCTCTGCAGGGGACTGCGGGCAGGGTAGGACACACACTGGGGCCAGGCCCTGTCCCCAGCCCTTCTAAACCAGGCAAGGGGCTGGCCAAATGGCAGCAGTGGCATCAAGAAGCCTCCAACACCCAGCCACTGGCCCGCCCTGGCCAGTCACCCCCACAATCCAGAACAGAAGACCCCAGCTGGACACCCCAAGAGCTGAGGGCTTTTGAGATGGAGTCTCGCTCTATTGCCCAGGCTGGAGTACAGTGGTCTGATCTCGGCTCACCACAACTTCTGCCTCCCAGGTTCAAGCCATTCTCCTGCCTCAGCCTCCCAAGTAGCTGGGATTGCAGGCGTGTACCACCATGCCCGGCTAATTTTTGTATTTTGAGTAGAGACGGGGTTTCACCATGTTGGCCAGGCTGGTCTTGAACTCCTGACCTCGTGATCCACCCCCTTGCCCCCCTTGGCCTCCCAAAGTGCTGGGATTGCAGGTGTGAGCCCCCGCGCCCAGCTAGCTGACGGCTTTTTCACACCTAATACGCAGTTACAGGATCCAAAAGCCTGAAGGGGACAAGGAGTCCAACTCCCCCTTGGACACTCAAGAAAGGCAGAACCTGACAAGGATGGTCAGGGTCCCAGAGAAGCCAGCAAGCCCCAGCCCCCAATTCATAATTCTAGATTATTCCCTCCATGCTTGGCTTGGCATGAGAGACAGAATTGAAAGTCATTAGTTTTAACTAATTTAATTACATTGAACTCATCTGACTGGGGATAACCCCAGACTCGAGTGAGGTGGCGTGGTGTGCGCATGTGCGTGTGCAGGAGCTCTTGAAAACTGTGTGATCTTTGGTACCTAAAAAGCAGACTTTCCCCTCATAATGCAGTCGGCAGCTTGAACGTTTAGGCCAGGGTGGGACAAAGCAGCCCAAAGCCCTTGTCATTGCTCTCCGGCTCCCAGGCTGTGTGCCCAAGCAGGTCCCCGTCCTCCTCTGGGCTGCACCTTTTTTTTTTTTTTTCTAAGACAGAATCTTGTTCTGTTGCCCAGGCTGGAGTACAGTGGTGTCATCTCAACTCACTGCAACCTCCGCCTCCCAGGTTTAAGCAATTCTCCTGCTTCACCCTCCTGAGTAGCTGGGATTACAGGCACCTGCCACCACACCTGGCTAATTTTTGTATTTTAGTAGAGAAGGGGTTTCACTCTGTTGGCCAGGCTGGTCTTGAACTCCTGACCTCGTGATCACCTGCCTTGGTCTCCGGAAGTACTGGGATTACAGGTGCGAGCCCCGAGCCTGGCCAGGGCTGCACCTTTTATCTAAGGCTCTGACACAGCAAACTGCAGCCTCCTCTGTCCAAGTCAAGTTCGGAGATCCCAAGGCTGGGGGCAGGCTCCACATGTGTCCTGGAATCACCAGGACTCTGCTGCTATCAAAGGCCTGACGTCAAGAATTGGAAGGGGCATCGTGGCCAACCTTTCCCCAAACAGCTCATCCACATGCTGGGCTCAGAATAACCAAAGCTGGCAAGTAAGGCAACCACAGTCAAGTGGCCAGACGGGAGCAAGCAAGAGACCCACCTACTCAGGCTACAGAAGACCTAAAGCAGCCCCAATAAGAGCAGCTTATGTCATGAGAAGAAAACTCAAAAGAAATCAGGGTACTGAGCCTCGAATGTGGTCAGGGCTTCTTGATGGGAAGAACCGAGCGGGAGAGCCCGTTGCCAGAAGGTGTTCCCACAGCAGGGGGTACAGTGCAAGCTCCTTTGCCTCTGAGTCTTAGTTTCTCCATGTCAAACATGGAGAGGGGGTGTCTGCCTCAAAGCTGTGGGGATTACGAGATCCTGCATGGAAAGCCTAGGACACCAGCTGGTGCCGCTAAGTGGCCGGAGGGATGTTTCCACCTGTGACAAAGTTGGCTTCAAAAACCTCCCAACTTAACTCCCCCAGAACCTTTCCTGGAAACCCGCACAGCCCTCAAAAGCCTCTCGGTAGGGGGCCCATTGTGCCATAGAACCCCAGGCTCACAGCCCCTCCCTCCCAGGCCCCAGTACCTTGAGGAGGTGGATGCCCACGAGGAGCAGAAGGTGCTGGAAGGCAGCAGCCCTGGCCTCTGCGGAGTGGGCCTCCAGCTCCTTCAGAGTCTGCAGCATCCTGCGGGGAGACAGGCGATTCCCAGGCCCCTGCACCAGTCAGACTGCAGCGTCCTGCCCACCCCCTGGAAATCCCACGTGCTCACCGGTCCCAGGCCTGGCGCTGCTGCGCAGTGAAGGGTGTCACGGTGGTCACGTTGTGGCTGTGATTCAACAGGAGGTCTGCGAACTGCACCAGGTGGTAGGTCCAGGGCTGCCCACCCTGGGTCTGGCCCGGTGCCTGCTTGAACTGCGTGCTGAGGGTCTGCAACAGACTGGGCAAGGGATGGGGCTTGGGGTCAGCAGACCAGATGAGTCAATGTAGCCGCCTCCCTCCGCCCTCCCCAGGGCTCGGTCTCCCGCCTCTCCAGGACCTACTAGAACTCCGGGGGCCTCTGCCGTTGTTCCCAGCTTAGGGGACCTGGAGGGAGCAGGCGCCCTCAAGGCCTTCCCACCTTCGGACCTCTCCTGGGCTGCCCAAGACTCACCTGAAGAAGGCACTGCTGACAGCCTCTCGGGCCTGGTTTTCCAAAGGGAAGGAGAACGGGTGCTTTGTCTCAGGGATCTGGGATGTGGGCTTCTTTGTGACAAAGAACGAGTGGAACAAACAAAACCTGGGGAGGGTGGGAGAGTGGCCATAGCCATTCACTGCCATTGGTTTTTACAGGCTCCCCTCCTTGGATGGTACCACCGAGGGTACAAGGCCAGGAGGAGGAGGAGCCGCCCTTCTGCCCTGGGTACAGTCCTCGGGGGCCTGACGGGCAAGGCTGGAGGGGGCTGGGCTGGGCTAGGATGGGAAGGGGCCGTTTCTCTGCTCTGGATCCCCAGCTGAACGCGGGTTAACCCGAGCTAGAGAGAGTCAGTGCCCCTCTCAAGGAACCAACAGATGGGAGGCTGTGTGGTCATGGCCAAGTCAGGTCACTGCTCCTGCGAACATGGGACAGCCCCCTCTTGCAACCGTGCATGTTGAGGGTGACGTGAGCACCCAGCTCTGCACTGGCACAGACGAGGCAGGTGTGGGGCAGAAGGCTTCCCTGACACCTCCCACGTGCAAAAGCTGCCTGCAGGGCGCGCAGAGCACACCTGAACCTTTTAGGCCCCTGCAGCTGGGGTGCCTCCTGGGCCCCTTCCCTTCACGGGTTCCTGAGGAATTCCCAAGTCCCCTTGTGCCTGCCCCCCACTGATGACTCAACCCAAAGGCTTCTGGCTCCAGGGGATGCAAACTAGGACGAGTTAAGGGGCCCCATTCCTTGGCCACACGCCCATGGGAAGCTGGGAATCCAGCACAGCTCGCACCTGGCCACCTGCTCAGTCAAGGCCTCCTCCATCTCCAGGTGCAGGCTGTCCACAATGCTCACCAATCGAAAGATGATCCATTTCCTCAGCCGGAACACAGCTCGCTCAGGCCTAGCGGGGCAGGAGGCGAGGTCATGTGAGCCACTTATAACTGGCAGAAACAGGCTGGGCCCAGTGGCTCACACCTGTAATCCCAGCACTTTGGGAGGCCAAGGCTGGCCAATCACTCGAGGTCAGGAGTTCGAGACCAGCCTGACCAACACGGTGAAACCCCATCTCCATTAAAAATACAAAAATTAGCTGGGTGTGGTGGCGGGTGCCTGTAGTCCCAGCTACTGGAGAGGCTGAGGCAGAGAATCACTTGATTGCTTGAACCCGGGAGGCAGAAGTTGCAATGAGCTGAGATCACACGCCACTGCACTCCAGCTTAGGCCACAGAGAGTGAGACTCTGTCAAAAAAAAAAAAAAAAAAAAAAAAGAACCAGCAAAAACAGGACATTCCTTTGCCTGATCTCAGAGACAACACTCCAAGATCTCCCCATCCCGATCGCCAGTGTGGGGACACACAAGTAAACTGAGGCCTCATATGAGAGCTAAGGCTCTTCCCCCTCGCTCCTCTCATGGTTTAGAGCCAGGACGCTGTGGAGGGCGGGCTTGGGTCGCGGGGCTCTGCAGGCCTAGGAAGTTAACTCCTAAATTAGGTGTCCTCCCCCAAGGTCCACTCACATGTGGAGCGATGAATCCTGGGCTTTCTTCTGGTTGTTGGTGCTGAAGTCAACCAAGGAGTCCAGGTCTGGCTGGAGAAACATGGCCCGCAGCCAGGCCACATAGCCCTGCAGGGCCGGAGGGCTCAGGAACCGCACGACCCGCCAGAAAGTAGGCGTGACAGGGAGGCCTTGGTTGGTGACAGATGAGAAGGCCACTAGCACGGCCAGCTGCCGCTCAGGGTCATCCTGGCACCCCTCTAGGAAGGTGCCCACGTAATCGTCCATCTCTGGGGCAAACTTGAACTGCTTTGGGAGCTGCAAGAGTTAGGCATGGCGCTGAGCCCACCAGCCCAGGGGGGCAGGCGGTTAACAACCCAACAGCCAAGGGGGCAGGCGGGCAACAGCCCAACAGCCCAACAGCCCGGGGGCAGGCGGGCAACAGCCCACCAGGCTTGTGCCCACTACAGGTTAAATCGAGCCCCGGCAATCTCCTGTTGTACACAGCTAGGCTGTGCCTGAACTTGCAACAGTCCAGTCACCCCAGTGCTTTTGTCTGGCGTCAAGGCCTCTGTGGGTCTGACTGCCCCAGCTTCAGCACCTCCGGCCCCAGAAGGCCCCTCTTTCCGCCTTGCTGGATGGGGATGGCCTGTTTTCCTGGCTCAACGCAGGGCAGAGTGGTAGTTAGGAGGCGAGACTGACCTGGGTTCAAAGCCCACGCTGCCAATTCCTAGCCGTGTCATCTTCGGGACCAAAAACAACCACCTCTCACGCGCTTACTCAGTGCCAGCACCCGCGCTCCGCCTTTTTGGGCGGCAGCTTAGCATTTTTAGCAACTCTTTGCGGTTGGCCAATATTGTCATTGCACAGGTGAGTACAGTGAGACACAAAAACACCTAGAGGTAACTTCTCAGGGTCAGAGGCTCCCAGTGGGATAGTGTCCGGCTTCACAGCCCAAGCTGTTTTCCTTTCAATTTTTTAGACTTGTGCCCCTGGCATGTAGTGCCATGATCATGGCTCACTGCAGCCTCAAAATTCTGGGTTCAAGGGATCCTCCCACCTCAGCCTCCCGAGTAACTGGGACTACAGGTGTGCACCACCATCCAACCCAAGCTCTTAACCACTGCCTGATACTTCAAGTCTCCCCCTCACCCAGAATGACAGCTCTCTGAAACTCACTGCAAAGATAAAATGAGCTGGTGAGAACAGTCAACCCAGCAGCACTTACTGGGCACCAGGCTCACTGGTGCCCAAACATGGTCATGACGACTGTTCTCATCACTGCCACATGGGCGGGGGCGGAGAGAGGTCTGAACAGCCCGCTGGCTATCCATGCCCACAAGGGGGCCTGCTGGCAGAAGGGCCTGACTTTATCAAAACTGTCAGAGGGAAGCCAGGTACAGTGGCTCACGTCTGTAATCCCAGCACTCTGGGAGGCCAAGGCGGGTGGATCACCTAAGGTCAGGAGTTCGAGACCAGCCTGGCCAACATGGCAAAATCCCGTCTCTACCAAAAATACAAAAATTAGCTGGGCGTGGTATTGGGCGCCTGTAATCCCAGCTACTCAGGAGGCTGAGGCAGGAGAATCGCTTGAACCTGGGAGGCGGAGGTTGCAGTGAGCCAAGATCTCACCACTGCGCTCCAGCCTGGGCGACAAGAGCAAAACTTCATCTCAAAAAAAAAAAATTTGTCCGAGGGAAAGGGGTTCAGGCAGCTCACTACCCAGACGGAGGGGACACCCATAGCTCTAGCCAAGCCCCCGAGGTGCCCTGCTCCCCTTTTTGGCAGGGAGAGCTCCACGTCTAGCCTTTCTGGCAGTGTCGAGCTGCACGGGCATTACCCACCTTAGCAGTGCACACGTGCTCCCCGTAATGGCGGATCACGTCTCCCTGCATCACCAGGTGCAGCTGCTCCTTGGTCAGCAGGGGCAGGGCCGCGCCCAGCAGGCGGAAACACAGGTAGCTAAAGGGGGTGCAGGACAGAGCCTGGTCAGAGCCCTTGGTGCCCCTGGTGGGAACCTCAGGACTAGTGGCCTAGCCCACTTCACGGACAGGGAAGGGGGCCGAGAGAGGACACGCGTCGCCCGCACCTGGCTGGCCAGAACTGCATCTTCAGCAGCCCTTGTTCCACCACCTCCTTCCAGAACCGTGGGAACTTGTCTTCCTTGAGTGCCAGGCGGAGCAGGTCCAGAGCAATGGCGGGCAGCTTGCGGTCCTTCTTCACAGAGGAGGCGGCCATCTTCAGCACATTCACCAGCCTGCGGAGGGCAAGGGACTCAGGGAACACTTGCCTCACAGGCAAGGGCCAGGGTGACAAGAGCAGCCGGGACACCCCCAGGCCAAACGACAAATCTGGGCCTGGCCAGATGCAGTCCCTTGGCCCCAGGGAGGGCAAATCCGCCCACCTCCATCACACCTGGGGACATTCTCATCTGAGAATAGGTTCACGGATCCCACCAGCTTCTTGAGCTTGGAGGGCACCTTCTGCTGGGCCAGGAGGAAGAGCTCTAGCTGTTCAGGGGAGCTGAGTATTATATTCAAGTCGGCTTTGAGGACCTCCGGCAGGATCTCCTGCAATGTGGCCTTCGAGACCTAAGGATGGAGGGAGAAGAAATCGTGACTTCCTCTGCGGGGTGAGCCTGGTGGATCCTGTTCTACCTGCTCCTGACACGGGGCCACCTGGTGAGGTATCAGAGTCATCAGAGGCCAGTTGCTAACAAAACTCAAATTCCCAGGCAGCGGGGTTTTTGACAAGCATCCCACTGACGCTAACTGGCCCCTGGAGGTACCTGCCCCCCACCCCTTATTTTTTTTTTTTAAGACAGAGTCTCACTTTGCCACCCAGGCTGAGTATAGTGGTGTGATCTTGGCTCACTGCAACCTCCGCCTCCCAGGTTGAAGCAATTCTCCTGCCTCAGGTGGGATTAAAGGTGTGCGCCATCACACCCAGCTAATTTTTGTATTTTTAGTAGAGATGGGGTTTCACCATGTTGGCCAGGCTGGTCTTGAACTCCTGACCTCAAGTGATCTGCCCACCTCGGCCTCCCAAAGTTCTGGGATTACAGGCGTGAGCCACCATGCCCGGTCAAAGCTACCCTTTTAATTATTCCTTTTTTTGGTATTTCAGAGTACTAGCTCATTTCATACACGAGGAGCCCTAGGTGGAGAGCTGGGATTCGAATTCAGGTCCTTCTGGCTCTGAGGTCAAGACTGCACAGTAAGCCCTGGCCTGGAGACCTGCTACCCCTGCCTTTCTCTTCGGTGACAAAAGGGCCTAGGGTGCTACCTTCCCAAGTAGGGCAGTGGAGGCCCACAAGGGGCCAGCCTTGACCAGGATAACAATGGCAAACGTTTTATATACTTGCCACGTGCCAGGCACAGTTCCAGAGCTGCACTGCCCAATACGGTAGCCACAGCCACACAGGGCTGCTGAGCGCCTGAAAGGTGGCTAATCTGAACAGGGGTGTGCCTAAGTGTAACATACACACTGGATTTTGGAGACACCTGACAAAAAGAGTGTAAGATATCTCAACACTTTTTTATACCAATGCACACTGAAATAATATTTTAGATATACCAGATAAAGTCAAATGTCACTAAATGTTACTAAATGACACCTGTTTCTTTTTACCTTTTCAACAAAGTCACTGAAACGCTTCAAATTATACATCTTTGTATTTCTATGGAACAGTGCTGTTCCAGATTCTCATCCGAGCCCCCTTGATGTCTCTGTAACAAAGTGTTGCCTGGGCCCGCACAGCTGGGGAGCTCATACCTCGGAGAGGATGTCCACCAGGGCCTTCCGGGGCTGCTCCTGCAAGTGGTTTTGGTACTGGGCCAGGGCCTGCAGCAGCTTCACCGACTTCATCAGTGCCTCCTGGTCCTGGTCCCCACAGAGGGACAGAGGGTATGAGCAGGGCACACGACTGTCCCCCACCCATCCCAAGCCAGCCTACATTCCCCCAGTCCCTCCAAAGCTCTTACCTTCACCAGCCGACCTGACTGAAAGAGGGCGAGCACTCCAAACAGGTTTGCAAAGAGAGCAGGTCTCAGCATTGCCTAGAAAAGGATTCCAGGCACAGGCATGAGGGGCCCTGGAACTCCCCATTCCCCAAGCCTCCCACCCCTGGGGCTGCTGACCTCCCTGGCCCCACTCTCACCTTCTTCACCTGATGCAGGTCATATTTTTCTTGTATCTGCTGCAGGATGCTGCACAAGGGGAGGTCTTCAAAAGACTGTAACAGCTGCCAGGAGTTGTGTGGCAGGAGGAAGAGGGTTCAGGAGAGTGGCCCAACTACGTCTTCACAAACCTTAACCTCCCTTCCCCCTTCAACTTCTCCCAAGAAGCCTCAGGTCCCTAGTCCCACCTTCTATGTACCTTCTATGGCCCCTAGATTACTAGTCTGAAATGCTCAGCCACTGGGTCTTCTCTCCGCACGTGGTCTGAGCTCCCCTCAGGCTGATCCTGCAGGCCTGGGTCTTTATTGCTCTGCCCCTTGTCAAGGCGCCTCAGAGAGTGGTCTACTCCAATCAGCTGAATGCCTCTGCAGGCCTAAGGGAGCCCACCCAGCGCTCACTGCTCCCAGAAAGTGTACCTAAGAGGCCGGGCAACCCAAGCACCAAATAGAAAACCTGGCCAGGCCTTGCTCACACCTTCTCCACTTTCATGAAGAGGCCTCCCTCAGGTTGGCCTCCAGTCTGCTCTGCCACTCCCGACCTCTCTCTCGGGCTGCCCCTCCGCCACAGCTGAGACACCACACCCGCCCTCCTCATACCCCACCATTTTGACCTGGATGGCTGGGACCCTGCCAGGAGCACCACCTCACCTGTGCCAGGGCCAAACTGTAGCAGGGCCGGGCTGTTTCTCGCCCGACCCCGAGTCCCGTGATTAGACGCTTCAGGGCATATTTCATCTCGGACCCCTGCGGAACCAAGCACACCCTCGTGTTCAATGGTGACAACAAGGTGCACGCCCCCGCGCACCCTGGCATCCAGGTTCGCGACCACGTGCCCCCAGTCTCAACTCCCTGGGCCCGCCGCCGCTTCCTTGCCGGGATATGCGCAGCCTCTGCCCCAGACCCCGCCACTCCACCTTCGGCCTGCCACGCAGATACTCCAGCAGCTTCTCCGTGGCCGCAAGTCGCGTCTCCTGCTCAGGCTTCGCAATGTCCCAGAAGAAGTCCAAGAACTCGCGACTGTGCTTCAATAGGCCATAGCGGTCGGCAGGCCGGGCGCCACTCTGCGTCGCTTCTCCAGGCGACATCGGCTGGGCGGGATCCCGGCTCTCCATCTCCGCCACACTCACCGAAACACGAAACACGTGTGCTCCGGCCCCAGCCGCTTCCAGGTCAGGGCACGGCGCATGCGCACCGGTTTGTGTCGGCTCGGAGGCGGAAGAACCCGGAGGGGCGGGGGAACCAAGAGAGACCGGCCCAGAGTTAAAAGAGCGGCATTTCCGCCGTAGCTCTGAGCGGAAGTCCCTCGCCTAGCGGCGTCCCATCTTTCCCAGCCTTCTGCTCACACCCGCTCCGCCCTGGCGGCTGTGGCATCTGCCCCTTTGGAGCCCCAGGGGGGCATTTCTAAGGGCCCATCTCGGAAACAAACCTAGGTGTAGCACTTCGATCCGACTCGTCCCAGAGCGGCCCCTGCGCTCCGAACATTGAGCCATTCAACAATTACTGGGCTCCTGCTGGCGTGCCGTGCTAGGCGGTTGGAACAAAGCCTCTGCTCTCGTGGAGGAACACGGAGCCAAATGCATTTAAAAAGATCATAATTATGAAGAGAATTAGGAATGCAAGGGTCAGGAGGAGGCTTTTAAGTGCTGGAACGTGAATACATCACCCGTTAAAAACACGGCTAATTACTATTCAATAGGGTCTCCAATAATGATTTGAGGGGTTGGTCAGGGAAGGCCTCTGTGAGGAAGTGGCATTTGGGATGAGAGCTGAGTGACAAGAAGGGCCCCCCTCCCCCGTACTCCTGCAAGGATCTAAGGGGACGAAATCCCAAGCCTTGCAACTACAGAGACCCAGGGCTGGAGGGGCTGAGGCTGGCGAGAAGCAAGGCTGCATGGGGCCCCGGGCTGGGATTTCATTCTGAGGGTGATGGGAAGTCACTGGTGAGTTTAATGCAGGGGCAAGCCTGGATCCGATTTACATTTTAACAAGATGATGCTGGCTGCTGTGTGGGGGATGGACTGTAGGTCTGCGCAGGTGGAAGCACGGGAAGACCATTTAGAGATAGTGGTGGACTGGACCCAGGGAAAATGAGAACAGGTCAGATTTGGGCTGATGTGGAGCAGGTGGGGTGGGTGATGGAGTTAGATGTCGGGGGAGAGGAAATGAGGGGGATGCCAGGTTTGAGACTGAAATAACTGGGTACATTGTGGTGCCATTACGGAGAAGAATTTTCTTGGGAGTGGGAGGTAAAGGTGGTGGGATCAAACGGTCTATTAAATCAGAGAAGCCTTTTACAATGGCAGGGGAGGGGAACTGCTACTGGTCACCCTCGCTTCTTGGTTTGAGAAGCTGTTTATAGAGGGCTGTGGTCCAGAGAGGACCTAACCCTTGGGGGAGGTCAGGGCTAACCTTCGCCTTGAATTTCCACACGCTCAACTCCAACCCCTTTGTACCCAAGCCCCTGGGGCGCCTTCTCACCCTCTCAGCCGCTTCCCTGCTTTGCTGTCTGTTCTAGAAAGTGAAATGAAAACATTCACCTTGCACATCTGGTGCCCCAGGAGGCAGGAGGTGAGCGGAGCAGGGGGAAGCTGAAAGATACCAACCCAGGCTCTCCCCTCTCTGGTTGTTGGTCACCTGTGCTGCCCATCAGGGAAGCCCTGACTCCAGTTGCTTCAAAAGCTGTTGGAAAATTAACCAAGAAGCAGGAATGGTGCTTGGTTTCCGGGAGACTTGATCTTTATTTTGTACCCAGTCTGGTTGAGGCAGATAGGTAAGGGGTGTCCTGAAGGGAAGGACAGAGATGCCAACAGTACCCTGGGCTCTGCCTGTCCTGCTTCGTGGGGCCCAGGGCCTAGGCAGAGGCTCTGCACTCTTTCCACTGTCCTCCTGAAAGCTGGATCTGAACTCAGTGCTAGCCCCAGGCCCTACTGCTTTTTCGTTATTACCCTGATTTTCTTAGCTGATAAAATAGCTAGAGATTCCATCCGGTGTGGGTGATCTGAAGAATGATTGTTAGCTCTGGATGCCAGAACTCAAGTCTAGGTAACTTAAAAGGCCAGAGGTTGGGGCCTGAGCCAGCAGTGAGCACATAATAAATCCTTTTTTTTTTTTTTTTTTTTAGACAGGGTTTCCCTCTTGTTGCCCAGGTGGGGTTGCAATGGTGCGATCTTGGTTCACTGCAACCTCCACCTCTCGGGTTCAAGTGATTCTCCTGCCTCAGCCTCCCAAGTAGCTGGGATTACAGGTGCCCGCCACCATGCCCAGCTAATTTTTTGTATTTTTAGTAGAGACGGGGTTTCGCCATGTTGCCCAAGCTGGTCTCGAACTCCTAGCCTCAGGTGATCCACCTGCCTTGGCCTCCCAAAGTGCTGGGATTACAGGCATGAGCCACCGCACCCAGCTATTTTTTTATTATTATTATTATTATTTTAAAGACAGGTTCTCACTCTGTTGTCCAGGCTGGAGTGCAGTGGTGTGATCCTAGCTCTCTGCAGCCTTGAACTCCTGAGCTCAAGCGAGCTTCCTGCCTCAGCCTCCCAAGCAGCTGGGACAACAGGCATGTGCCACCGCCCCTGGCAAATTTTTAAATTTTTAGTACAGATGAGATCTTGCTTTGTTGTCTAGGCTAGTTTCAAACTCCTGGCCTCGAGGTATCTTCCTGCCTTGACCACCCAAAGTGCTGAGATTACAGGTGTGAGGCACCACACCCTGCGGGTGCACACTCCATTGCTGCTGTGTCTGCTCTGCTCCTGCCCCCATGCTTCAGATAACTCTGCCTTCTGCCAGACCCACCCCCATCCTGTTAGAACCCCTGGAAGGGGCAGCAGGCATGGGGGACACTGGAGACATGGGCGTGCTCTGTGTGGGCTGCCACCTGGAGCAGGGTCCCTTGGCCACAAGTGCTGGGATGCTCTGTTGGTTCTTGCTGACCCTGATGCTGGTGCTGGGCCTGGGTAGGGGGCCTTGCTGCCAGATGCCTGAGTAGGGTGTGAGTCATGGCCCTGGCCACATCAGGGGTCCCTGAAGCCACAAGCCCCAACACATCAGCCTCTGTGTCATCCAGGCTGCCACGGAGGATGAGGGGGCAGGCCCAGGCACTAGTGGTAGACTTGGCCACCAGGTTGCTGAGCAGAACCCCAGTGCTTGGGGACAGGTGTGCAGAGCCAAAGGAGCAGTTGAGCGAGGAGGTGAGAAGGAGCACAGAGCCGCTGCTGTCCACGGCGGCCAGGGCACTGCTCTCGGGGCTCACAGCAGTCTGCAGGAACGGTGGGCAGGGGTCAGGGATGGGCGCCCCGGAGCGCAGGGCTGCCTCCAACAGTGCCAGCAGTTCTGGGCCAGCTGAGGGACTGGGGGTGGTGAACAGGATGCCCTGGGGCACAGGTAGCTGCTCTGCTGGTTCCAAAGTGGGCCTGGGCACAGCCGAGGGCACCTCCACCCCCAGGTCTCCCGCCAGTAGACTCAGTAGAGCATCCCCAGCAAGGTCTGAGGTGGGAGCGAGGGCTGCGCTGCGAAGCACAGCTGCCAGTTGTGGGTTGGTGGCTCGGGCCCCAGCGCCCAGGGGTGTCCCATCAGCATGGCAAAGTAGTGGACAGAGGCCTTCTGTGCCCCGAGCCACCAGAGCCCTTGCCAGGGGTGTGTCCACCAGGAAGCCCTCCTGAGCCAGCGTGGTGGGGCCCACTAGCAGGCGTGGCCAGGGCAGGCGGCCGAAGCGTGCATGCAGCAGGTGCAGGGTGGGCAGAGCCGCGGGCAGCCCCAGGCCGGGGGCCAGGGTCTGTGCTGGGCCTGATGTCAGGGCCGTGGAATTGCCTGAGGAGCTATCGTGGAAGAGGCCCCAAAACATGGCACCTGCAGGAGACAGAGGGGTCCCTCAGCAGCCGCAGGTCAAGGGTCACTGACTTGTTTCAGTCAAGATCCCTTGACTGAGCCTGGGATCAGGAGTTACTGACCAGGCCTGAGGTCAAAGTTCCACAGACCCGGGCTCAAGGGTCATAGCCTGGGGTTGGACTGCTGCCCAAACCCTAAGTCCTGCTCACTTAGCAGTCTTGAGGTCAGTGCTACTGACTCCCTAAGTTCCAGGTCACTGATCAGGCTGTGGGTTGGGGTTGCAGTCTGGGGTCAGGGGTCACTGACCTAGCCCCGTGGCATGAGGATGCACCACTGCCAGGCACAATGCAGCTCCAACTCCAGCATCCACGACGTTGCCCCCGGCAACAAGCAGCTCTCGGCCTAGGTGGGAGCATGTGGCTGCAGCAAGGAAGGCACTGTCATGCAGCAAGGAGGGGGGCTAGGCTGGGCTGGTGACCCCTGACCCTCCCCTCCCCAAGCCGCCCCCAGCACTGACTGACCTGCAGGGCTGATGATGGCACCGTGGTGGTATACGCCAGGGCCGTGGGAGTGTCCGCCGGGTGGAGGGGCCACAGAGCCCAAGCTTCCTGTCGACCTGCCCTGATTCTGGAGCTGCCTCACAGCCAGGGAGCAGCCAACAGCCAGCAGCAGCAGGGCTGCCACTACACGGGCCCAGGTTCCGGGCAGCCCGCCAGCCTTGTTCCTGCAGAGGGGGGGTGTCCTGAGCCACGGCTGGGACAGAGGGATGCCCAAGGACCCCAAGAGACCCCAGGGAATATTTCCCAAAAGGTTTGATTTAGCAAGAGGAGCACAAGTCAGCCAAGGAGAAAGGGCTTCTTGGCAGCGGGTGCATCTTGGGCAGACATGGGGATGGGAAAGCATCTGGGGAAACTGAGCCTAGCTAGGGAGGGAGCCTCTGGAGGGGAGATTGGTGGGGCAGAGTCCACTCAGGTGGGAGGGAGGCCCAGTGGGGTGTGGCAGGCAGGAGAGAAGGGGCTGGGGAGCAGGCCCAGCCAGGCGTAGTCAGGCCCCAACCTGCCCAGCAGGTGCCTCCTGCACCAGGACTTGGGGGCTGGGGACCTTTGACAAAGCAGCAGATGGGACAGAGGCTGGCTTGGTACAAATGTCCCTCCAGATGCACAGACTTTTGATTGGGTCAGGCCAAGTCTCGGGCTACAGCCTGGGTTTTCCCCCAAATTGACCGTACAGTGCCTGGAGCTAAACCCAGCGGGGAGTCGCCTGGTCCCCCTGAGGGGCTCCAGAGAGAGGGACTTGCCAACCTCAAGCCTGGGGAGCCTGGTGCCCAGACCCCTCCCTTACTTACCTGGAAGAGTCCTGGTGCCTCCGGGGGTTTAGAACCAGCGCCTCTGATGTCTCCTCCTCCTCCACTTCCTCCTCCGACTCCAAGCTTGGCTCCCAGGGCAGCAGCTTCTGATAGACCACGGGCTCTTCTGCCCGCTCCATGGCCCCCCAGTGCTCGCCCCAGCCCTCCTGCCTGCCAGCCTTTCCGGCTGTGTCTCAGAGGCCCTGCCCAAGCCTGGCAGGTGGGAGGTGGCAGCGACCTTGGGGAAGGGTGGGGGTGGAATCCAGAACAGGTCTGGGCAGGGCACGGGGCCAAGGAGGCTGCATGTGAGCCTGCCCCATTAGGACACAAGGCCCGAGGAGCTCTCGCGACAGGGTTCCCGGGGTGACTGCCTGTAAGGGGCCACAGCTCAGTGAGGTCGAGAAGGAGTTCAGCCTTAATGCCACAACCTTGATACTCAGGGCACCTGCTGGGCTCCTCCCCTTGGGGGATGTAGCCCATGGATCCCACCCACCTGGGACTCTAGGGACTGTGGACTTGAATTAGAGCTACGGTTTCACGGTGGCTTGGGTCAGAGCTCCCACGTGCTTGAGTCTGCACGTGACTAGGTTCTGGCGTAGGGGTGTCTGGTCTCTGGCCGGGGTCAAGGCTCAGCCTGTGGCTACTCTGGGTCTGGGTTTCTTTGAGGAGCAACTTGGTTCGTAACTCCCTGTGCGTGTTTTGCGACTCTTGTCCAGAAGGTAGCGCCACAGCCTGGAAACCAACATTTCTAAATTCATTCTGGGATTCCCATCAAGGACTTGTTGCAAAACAGTGCTGTTTGTAACAGTCCCAAATTGGAAAGTGCCCAAACATCCATTATCGTTAGAATGAATGATGTAAGTCACAATGGACCACTCTGCAGCAAAGAGAGTGAGTGATCTACAATTATATGCAATAATATACACAGGTCTGACAAGCATAAGGACGAGGGAAAGCAGCCAGGCAGGAGACAGCGCACGCTATATGCTTTCATTTACACAAAGTACACAAACAGGCAACAACAAAAGAGCAACAACAGTCTGCCCTTAGAAGTCAGATAGTGACTGGAGGAGGTACCAGGGGGTTTCTGGAATGCTGGAGATGTCCTTTCTTTCCTTCCTTTCTTTCCTTTCCTTTTTCCTTTACCTTTCTTTTCTTTCTCTTCTTTCTTTCTTGACAGAGTTTTCATTCTTGTTGCCCAGGCTGGAGTGCAATGGTGCAATCTCAGCTCACTGCAACTTCCACCTCCTGGGTTCAAGCAATTCTTCTGCCTCAGCCTCCCGAGTAGCTGGGATTACAGGCACATGCCACCACGCCTGGCTAATTTTTTGTATTTTTAGTAGAGACAGGGTTTCACCATGTTGGCCAGCCTGGTCTTGAACTCTTGACCTCAGGTGATCCGCCCGCCTCAGCCTCCCAAAAGTACTAGGATTACGGGTGTGAGCCACCGCGCCCGGCCGAGATGTTGTTTCTTAATCTGAGTGTTGGTGACACGAGTGCCCTGGGTGTGAAAATGCATTGAGTTGGGCATTGATGACGTGTACTTTTCTATGTGAATATTGTCTTTCAATAAAAAAGTAAAAATGGAAAAGCTCAGGTATTTTCTACATTAAAACAACAACCATAAAAATCATCCTTTGAATCATCCATCATCCCATCTGGCTCTCCAGCTGCTTCCCTTTCTCATGGCCTCTTCACGAGCAAGTACACGGGTTCTTTAAGATTGGTGTGCATCACGATCACCTGAGGAGCTTGTTAAGTCAGATCGCTAGGCTCCTCTCCTAGAAAGTCTGGCTTCAGGTGTAGGGTCTAGAATGTGCTATCCCAATTGCCACAGTCCTGGAACCACACCTTCAGTCTAAAAAAAAAGTGTACACCTGCTGTGTTCACTTCTTTCTCTCCTGTTTCTTCCCTTAGCTGGTTTCTGTCTCTAGTTCCCCAGAGAAACCTTTGGTTTCCTTTTTTTTTTTTCTTGGGCCAATAAAAAACCAACCAACCAACCAAATAGAGCAGCCTAGGGTTGCCACCTTCTAATTTTGCCAATGGTGGGGAGATGGGAATCAAAATGACCATTTTTATGATTTTATGACATTTATGTCATAAAATAATTTGGTTTCACTTTCTGTTAACACAGGGTAAGAAGGTTAGAATCTCAGAATGAAGGTCCATCCTTCCTTCCTGGGAAAAGGCATCTGAGAGCCTTAGGGCTCTGTGCTGCCCCCATCTCCTGCCCCAGCCTCAGCCTGGCCTTCGGGCTCCTAGCATTATTCCTTTTGTCCAGCAGGCAGAATTATTTTCGGCCCCTACCCTGCCCAGCCAACATTCCTCTGCTCTTAGAGCTAGGTCCTGACAAGTTCTTTGGACAAGACCTCCACTAGTTAGGTTCTGGGAACATTTCCTAGTTCCCAGAACCTCTCATTCCTTTCTCATTCCTGCAGCTCTGGACCTATTAGCTAAGCTCCAATTCGATGTAGCTGGGTGCTGGGGATAAACGTGCTCAGGCCAAAGTAGCTCCAGGGGTAGATGGAGTCAGTCATTTGAGGGCTCAGAGTAGGGGTGGGGGTTGGCAATGGCTTCTGGAGAACTGGGTCTAGTTCTGTGTCTGCTAGTAACTGAATATATGACTGCAGGTGAGATATTTAACCTCTGGGAGTCTTGACTCCACTTCTGTAAAATGAGGATAACAATATTTGTCCTCCTAGGGTTGTTTTGAGGATTACACAAGAAAATATGTTTAAAGCCTCTAGACCAGTGCTTAGTACAGAGCAGTCCCTCCAAAAGCATGAGTTCCTTTCTCTCTGCTCTGTGAGCCTCAGTCTCCCCAGTGATTATTATGGATAATCTACATTCGCATGTCCATGCACACACACACACACACACACACGCAAAAGGTGGCTTGAAGTCTGTAGATTCATTAATTTCTTCATTCATTTCTTCATTCGTCCACTTATCCTAATGGTTCTCAACCTTAGATACACATTACAATTACCTGGCAAGCTCTGAAAAATTCTAATACCTATGCAGACCAGTTAAATAATGAAATCAGGACCTCTAAATTGTAGCTTCATCCATTGTTGAAGCTTCCCAGGTGTTTTCAATGGGCAGGCAAGGTTGAGAACCACTGCTTTAGCTAGTGATGTCTGCAATTGAAATCACCTGTAGCAACTGGAAAAACCCCAAACACCAATATCCTGGTCCCTCCCTTTCTCATACTCCCACGCCAATTGAATCAGCTTCTCTGAAAGTGAGTCTCAGTCATGATGATGTTTTGTTTTGTTTTGAGATGGAGTTTCGTTCTTGTTGCCCAGGCTGGAGTGCAATGGTGCAATCTCGGCTCACCACAACCTCCGCCTCCCGGGTTCAAGCGATTCTCCTGCCTCAGCCTCCCAAGTAGCTGGGATTACAGGCGTCCACCACCACACCCGGCTAATTTTTGTATTTTTAATAGAGACAGGGTTTCACTATGTTGACCAGGCTGGTCTCAAACTCCTGGCCTCAGATTGATCTCTCAGCCTTGACCTCCCAAAGTGCTGGGATTGCAGGCTTGAGCCACTGCACCTGGCCTCTGACTGCTCCTTCTAACCAAGAAGGGACCCCTGAGACGAGGAACAGGGAAGAGTATGGACCCCACGTGTGTGTTAAGTCTTTCCCCAGGTTGACTTTATAATTGGCCTTCTTGGACATGCTGGGATTTAACTCTAATTATAGAATGGAGACAATGACGTATGCGTATGTGGCAGGGTTGGGGGTGGGGATAGAAGGGGCTTTTCTTTGCAAGGTATCTCTCTCTGTGCAATGTGACCAAAATGCCAGAATATTATTGTTAAAGTACTTTTAAAAAATTATTCCAGGTGATTCCAGTTGTGATACAATGGCATTCAGAAATTCTTAACTCAGAGCCAGCATCCAATAGTCCCTGAAAGACATGGGTATTCCCATTTCCTGAGTTTACAGTTACCCTAGTAAATGGCAAATCCTCATTCTTTTTTTTTTTTTTTTTGAGATGGAGCCTTGCTCTGTTGCCCAGGCTGGAGTGCAATGGCACGATCTCGGCTCACTGCAACCTCCACCTCCCGGGTTCAAGAGGGAACAAGAGGGAAACTCTGTCTTAAAAAAACAAAAAAGGTAGTGATTCCTATCATATTTCAGTTTAATTTAGGGGCTTGTACAAGGCAGAAGACAGATGGGCCTTGGAAAATAACAGTAGATATAGTTTAAAAAAAAAGTCACTCAAATTGTAGCTGCTGTTCTAGGTGTTTCTTTTTTTCTTTCTTTCTTTCTTTCTTTCTTTCTTTCTTTCTTTCTTTCTTTCTTTCTTTCTTTTTTTTTTTTTTTTTTGAGACAGTCTTGCTCTGTTGCCCAGGCTGGAGTGCAGTGGTGCAATCTCGGCTCACTGCAACCTCCATCTCCTGGGTTCAAGCAATTCTACCCCAGCCTCCCGAGTAGCTGGAATTACAGGTGCCCGCCACCACACCCGGCTAATTTTTGCATTTTTAGTAGAGACAAGGTTTCACCACGTTGGCCAGGCTGGTCTTGAACTCCTGACCTCAGGTGATCCACCCACCTCGGCCTCCCAAAGTGCCGGGGTTACAGGCATGAGCCACCATGCCCGGCCTCTAGGTGTTTCTTTATGGGGAAAATCAACATAGCTCCTAGAAAATGCTTTCTTTCGTTTTTTTTTTTTTTGAGATGGAGTTAGTCTCTGTCACCCAGGCTGGAGCACAGTGGCACAATCTCGGCTCACTGCAACCTCTGCCTCCCAGATTCAAGCGATTCTCTTGTCTCAGCCTCCCGAGTAGCTGGGATTACAGGCATGTGCCACCATGCCTGGGTAATTTTTGTATTTTTAATAGAGACGGGGTTTTACTGTGTTGGCCAGGTTGGTCTCGAACTCCTGACCTCAGGTGATCTGCTTGCCTCGGCCTCCCAAATTGCTGGGATTACAGGCATAAGCCACCGTGCCCAGCCAAATGCTTTGTTCTTTATCCCAATAGCCAGATAATCCAGAAGTCATTTGTTTTTACCTGGTAGGGACAGCAGTGCACCTTTACAATCTTGCCTCAGAGTTGTGGCAACACAGTATCTAATGGTCAGTGTCAGGGATATAAACCATGGCAGCTGGTGCTCAGATGAGGTGGAGACAGTGGTGCCTTCCCCAGACAGTTCTGCAACGTGATTTTGAGCATTGGTCTTGGCCGCATAGCCTCTGAGCTAGCTCTCCAACAGCTCTACCCCCCATCCACTTTCTGTGCCCATAGATTTTTCATAAATTTATTTTCTATTTAACTCAGGCAGAAGCGTGTCTTTTGTTTACAGTTAATAACACTGACTGCTGCATATACTTCTAGGAGTCCCTAGAGGGCAGCAAACAGCACTTGCAGTTTGAAGCGGGAAACAGGGAGGCAGAAGCAGCGCCGGATCACATTGGATCACGCTGGATCACGTTGGACGCTGGCTCAAAGTCTCTGCAGAGGTAAAGAGGGCATTTGTGCTTTCCTGACCTGTTGGCTCTCAGGAAGAGTGTGTCTTAGACCTGGACTAAGGAGACTCACACTAAGGAAGTTCAATTCCAGCAGGAGCCCATTGCTTTGTCAATTTTTTTTTCTTCATATTTCTAAAGCAGAAGGGATGAATTATGAGGCGCTTGTGGTGTCTCTTTCCTGGTAGCATCTACTTCTTTATTCACTGCTTTTACCTCTTGTCAAACGTATTCTAGTTGCCTTTGGGCCTCAGCCTTTGTCCTGTACGGAGAGTCTTATTTATCTTAGACATTACCTGTGTGCCACCACAACCAGGTTCCTGGCTGCCTACCCTCCATTCTTCTCCCTAATAGCATCCAGATTTTCTTTTTCTTTTTCTTTTTTTTTTTTTTTTTTTTTTGAGACAGAGTCTCACTATGTGTGCAGTGGCGCGATCTCAGCTCACTGCAATCTCTGTCTCCCAGGTTCAAGCGATTCTCCTGCCTCAGCCTCCCAAGTAGCTGGGATTACAGGCGTGCACCACCACACCTGGCTAATTTTTGTATTTTTTTTAGTAGAGACAGGGTTTCTCCATGTTGGTCACGCTGGTCTTGAACTCCCAACCTCAGGTGATCTGCCCACCTTGGCCTCCCAAAGTGCTGGGATTACAGGCGTGAGCCACCATGCCTGGCCCAGATTTTCTTTTCTTTCTTTCTTTCTTTCTTTTTATTTGAGGCAGAGTTTTCCTCTCCCAAGTAGCTGGGATTACAGGCATGCACCACCATGCCCGGCTAATTTTGTATTTTTTTAGTAGACACAGCGTTTCTCCATGTTGGTCAGGCTGATCTCAAACTCCTGACCTCAGGTGATCTGCCCACCTCGGCCTCCCAAAGTGCTGGGATTACAGGCGTGAGCTACCGTGCCCGGCCCAGATTTTCTAATAGGGAATTATTCCTTGCTACTGTGTGTCGAATCCTGGGGAGAGAAGCCAAGGTCATTAGCAGTTCTAGGGTTTGGGGCTGACCTAGAGGAAAATGACCACGAGATGGCAGTAGCAGGCAATGAGCTTTATTGGGATGGCTCTGGGACAGAGTTACCTGTGAGGGGAAGTCCCCCGTAGCAGGGGTCCTTCTAAGGATAGTGATGCAGGGCCACCATCCAGAAAGAGAAGACAAGAGAGCTTCTGGGGAGAGGGGTATCAGAGACGGGGTTTACATGTCTAGATGAGGAGGGGTGTCTCCGGGTCAAAGAACTGCCAAGGGCAGCCCTGGCTTGGGCTTTTACAGCCCCAGGGTTTGTCCTCTCTATGGCCAGCAGATGTTGGGTGCAGTTTGGCAGGGTATATAAAGCAGGCAGGCTCTAAGTGGCTAGAAATATGTTTATTTGGGCTTTTTAATTTAAAGCAATTGGATGTGTAAAAAACTGAGTTTAGCTCTCATGGGGTTTTTGAGCTAGCAGTCCTGTTGCGAAGAAGTAAACAGCGTAGGACTCAAGGCACAACTCATTTATATGACAGAGGTGAATAACAGTGCCTGCCTCCCCCACTCTCTCCCACTACAGAGGTCGAGGGAGCAGATCCTTCCTCAGTCTCCCCTGCTTGTGTAGCCAAGGCAAACATGGGGCCTAAGCTCAGTCAGTTCGGGAATTGTCCCCAGGTCTTTAAAATTTTATTTATTTATGTATTTATTTTTGAGACAGGGTCTTGCTCTGTTACCCATGCTGCAGTGCAGTGGTGCAGTCGTGGCTCACTGCAGCCTTGATCTCCTAGGCTCAAGTGATCCTCCTGCCTCAGCCTTTTGAGTAGCTGAGATCACAGGTATGCACCACCATGCCCAGCTAATGTTTACATCTTCTGTAGAGATGAGGTTTCGCTATGTTGCCCAGGCTGGTCTCAAACTCCTGGGCTCAACCAATCTGCCCACCACCTCCCAAAGCATCTATATTTTCTTTTTCCTTTTTTCTTTCTTTTTTTTTCTTTTTCTTTTTTTTTTTTTTTTTTTTGAGATGAAGTCTCATTCTGTCACCCAGGTTGGAATGCAGTTGTGCGATCTAGGCTCACTGCAACCTCTCCCTCCCAGGTTCAAGTGATTCGCCCACCTTAGCCTCACAAGTAGCTGGGATTACAAGTGTGCACCACCATGCCTAGCTAATTAATTTTTGTATTTTAGTAGAGATGGGGTTTCACCACGTTGCCCAGGCTGGCCTCGAACTCCTGAGCTCAGACAATCCGCCCACCTTGGCCTTCTAAAGTGCTAGGATTGCAGGTGTGAGCCACCGCGCCCGGCCTAGATTTTCTAACTGGGAATTATTAAATAGCCTGGGTTTGAGCCACTGTACCCAGCCCTCCCCAGGCCTTTTCATATGTGTGTGTGACTTCAGTATTTGGAGATTTGGAGATTAGAATCATTGGCCAGTCTGGCCCTATCGAGAGACTCTGCCATGCTGCTTCTCGATTCTTTTTATTTACGTATTTATTTTAAGACAGAGTCTTACTCTGTCATCCAGGCTGGAGTACAGTGGCATGATCTCAGCTCACTGCAACCCCCACCTCCCGGGTTCAAGCAATTCTCCTGCCTCAGCCTCCTGAGTAGCTGGGATTACAGGAATGTGCCACCACAACCAGCTAATTTTTGCATTTTTTAGTAGAGACGGGGTTTCACCAGGTTGGCCAGGCTGGTCTCGAACTCCTGACCTCAGGTGACCCGCCCGCCTCGGCCTCCCAAAGTGCTGGGATTACAGGCGTGAGCCACTGAGCCCGCTACTTCTCGCTTCTTGATCCTTTAGAGCAGGCTTTGTCAACCAGGTCACTCCTCTGAACCACGGAACACAGGAATGATTTTCCCAATTCTCCAAAGAGTCTTTGCCCTTTCGCTTTCTTCCTGCTGGAATTCCGACTCTAGGCCTGGGCCCCGGGGATGGCAAGGCTGCACCAAGGACAGTGCGGCAGGCAGTAAACGGAGGCTGGGCCTTACTGACATCTCAACCAGCGGTGTCAGCCCTGGACTCTAGATCTTTACGTTTCTTGTCACATGGGCAAAATAAAGCTCCTTTGTGTAGCTGTGAGGTTGAACAAATAGGACTCACAGTCTGCCTTTATTTTAATCTCCTAATCTCCATTCAAATGTGTTTTGTGGGGATGGCCCATCACCATTCTTTTGAATGGAATATAGGGCAGGCCCATGTCTTTTTGGGACACTCTCTTTTGGTAAAAAGTTTTTGGGTCACTTCAAGTTATAAAAGTTTCATTTCAACCAGGCGCAGTGGCTGCTCACACCTGTAATCCCAGCACTTTGGGAGGCTGAGGCGGGTGGATCGCCTGAGGTCAGGAGTTTGAGACCAGCCTGGCCAACATGGTGAAACGCCGTCTCTACTAAAAGTACAAAATTAGCCAGGCAGGGTGGTGGGTGCCTGTAATCCCAGCTACTCGGGAGGCTGAGGCAGGAGAATCACTTGAACCTGGGAGGCAGAGGTCGTAGTGAGCTGAGATCGCACCACTGCACTCCGGCCTGCGAGATTGAGTGAGAACCTGCCTCAAAAAAAAAAAAAAAAAGGTTCATTTCAATAATTGCAATTAAAAAATAAGCGTGGTCCCATTCATGGAGCTGGAGGGTAGAGCAGTGGTTGCCAGGGGCTGGGGGAGGTGGGCTGGGACTTGTTGTTTAATGTGTGTGGGGTTCCGTCTGGGATGAGTAGCTTCTGTGGATGGCTGCGCAACAGCATGAGCATATTTGGGGCCACTGAAATGATTGTAAATTGGTTAAAATGGTAAATTGTGTGTTATGTATATTGTATCATGATGAAAAAATGCAAAAAAAAAGTATAAGCCAAAAAAACCCAAAACACCCCACAGCCCCTCCCCCAAATGTAAAAGTCCATTTAAAGTTAAAAACTTCTCCCTTGCACCTTCTCAGTCTGTTTTGGGCAAGTAGCATGCAACAGGAAAAGGCTGTGTGTGTGTGTGTGTATGTGTGTGTGTGTGTATGAAAGGGTATGGTGAAGAGGGAGAGACTCTAATTAACTTCTCAATGTACCCTCCAACCCCCACCTGCTCCTACACCCTGGGATTCTCCTCCTCACTCACTTGGCTGCTTTTGTACCCCCAGGGTTGACATGGCGGGGGAAGAGGTAAAAAGGGGCAGGAAAGATCTGATTTTGTATTGTACGAGCTGGTACAGAAGCTTCCTGGGCTTTGTATACAGCTGACTTTTTATCTATTGGGACACTTTTTAAAGTCCTTCCAAGACCTCCAGCCGACCCCATTATTGGGGTCTCACCTCCAATTCCCCGGGTATAGCTGAACTCTTCTTGGCTCACAAGCAGCTCAGGCATCAGTTTCTTGCTGCTGGGGCCGCATCTTTCTCTCCAGGTGGTGTTCCTGGGCAGGTTTTATTCTTTTTTTGTTTTGTTTTGTTTTTTTAAATAACTCTTGCTCAAGGTTGGGCAGGTTTTAATGTGGCCTGATGCTGGTTCTCCCTCCCTCATAGCTCACATCTGGTCCATAGGAAACAATCACACATCCTTTTCCTACAAGAGATTTTAGGGGTACCAGTTTCCAGTGCAGCCAACTCTCTTCAAGATGTGATCAAAACCACTATCAGCCAGCACATCTCTCATGCACTGAATTTAAAAACTTTTTTTTGTAGAGATGGGGTCTTGTCATGTTCACCAGGCTGGTTTTGAACTCCTAGGCTTGAGCAATCTTCCCACTTCGGCCTCCCAAAATGCTGGGATTATAGGCATAGCCACTGCTCCAGGACTTGGATTTTAAAAATCCGATTTATTGAGGTATTTATATATATATATATATATATATTTTTTTTTTTTTTTGAGACGGGGTCTTGCTCTGTCACCCAGTCTGGAGTGCAGTGGCACAATCTCGGCTCACTGCAACCTTCGCCTCCCGGGTTCAAGCAATTCTCCTGCCTCAGCCTCACAAGTAGCTGGGACTACAGGCGCCCACCGCCAAGCCCAGCTAATTTTTGTATTTTTAGTAGAGACAGGGTTTCACCATATTGGCCAGGCTGGTCTCGAGCTCCTGACCTCGTGATCCACCCACCTCAGCCTCCCAAAGTGCTGGGATTACAGGCATGAGCCACCGCGCCCAGCTGAGGTATAATTTACATAAAGTAAAAGTCACCAATTTTTGTGTATATTGCCAGCAACTGACACCACAATTAAGACAACAAAGGAACCGATTGCTCCCGCAGCCAACACTATAGTTCACCATGGAGGACCCCGTGGATAGTTCCAAGCCTCCCTCTGCATGACCATTTCCTGGGCGGAAGTCCTTTGAGCTAAGTGGGAAATTTGGGCAGTACCCAACCTATGTAGATGAACCACATCCTGGCACTGGGGAAGTGGAAAATTTAGAGCACCCAAATTGATGCTCGATCCAACCCATTGATCACACCTCATCCCATCACAGCAAGTTAGGTGTTTCTCTGCTTTTTGTCTGAGGTGTTAACGTGAGAATCTCTTATCTGTAGGACTCTCCAGGGAGTTGTATCTTATGATTCCAGTAGTGGAAAGAACAAAATCAAAACACTGTATGGCGAAATCCTCAACGGGAAGGACCTGGAATTCACATCCTTCGAGATATCATCTGTACCTCAGCACTGTTGTGACCCGGTGGGCAACATAGTAGCAGGGTCGAGGGACAAAATGCATGCTAATAGTCTCTAGGCTCAAAAATGATTCAAGACCCTGATGGTGTCTCTCCAACGACCAACACACAGGGATGGTGCCAACCTGTCACTCAATGACAACGCAGGGCTGGTGACTAACTGGTTTAATTCGAGACCGTGGGTCGGACCACTTGTCTGTGCTTTGATAATGGAGAATTTGAGTCCCTGGAAAAAGCTACTCGACCAGGTTAGACTAGTGGCTGGTAGAGTGCGAATGACAACATGCTATACCATCAAGATGTTCCTGGATCAGTGTACTGACCGATCTATTGCACTACTGTCAGTTGTAACCAAGATTGTTGTATTCGAGGAGAAAGACACTTGCCTGGAAAACACACGGAAAGTTTTTTGAGTATGGGGGAGCCCTGCACCACCCCATTATGATTTGAGGTCTCTCCTCGGATGCTCCCAAATCTGGCAACGGCGGCAAACTATTGGGCTGAAAGACTCAATCCAGTGTATTCTGGATTTAAGGCTCATGACATAATGCCCGGAGCGAATATCACACTTCCACTTACTCAGATGGCTGCCTCTCACTGAGTGTCAAGAGGAACAGGGACGGGCATATGGTCACTCCAGCTTTGAACATCCTAAAGAATTATGGGGTAACAGGCTACAAATGAATACGGTCAGTTCCCTATTAAAAAAAAAAAAGCCGCTCCTCAGACCTCAGCAGCCAAGATGGTGAAGGAGATCGAGAGCAAACTTGCTTTTTAGGAAGCCTTGGATGCCACAGGCGATAAACTTGTAATAGTTGACTTCTCGGCCACGTGGTGTGGGCCTTGCAAAATGATCAAGCCTTTCTTTATCCCCTCTCTGGAAAGTATTCCAGCGTGGTATTCCTTGAAGTAGATGTGGATGACTGTCAGGATGTTGCTTCAGAGTGTGAAGCCGAATGCATGCCAACATTCCAGTGTTTTAAGAAGGGACAAAAGGTGGGTGAATTTTCTGGAGCCCATAAGGAAAAGCTTGAAGCCACCATTCATGAATTAGTCTAATCGTGTTTTCTGAAAACATAACCAGCCATTGGCTATTTAAAACTTGTAATTTTTTTAATTTACAAAAAAATATAAAGCATGAAGACTATAAACTCAAATACCATCTGGGTGACAATAAAACATTATTTCTAACACTTTAAAAAAAGACAAAGACCATTTCCAACAACCAAGCATTTTCCTAGTACCCCTTTGCTCCACCCCTCACCTCTGCTCCTTGACAACCACTCATCTGATTTTGATCCCTATATGTTGCTGTTTACCTAAGAAATCATGTTTTGAGGACTTATATATTGTAAATGGAATCATACCAGATGTACTTGTTCATATCTGGCTTCTTTCACTTAGCATGAAGACTTTGAGAAGCATCCATGTCATTGCGTGCATCCGTTTTTTCTTTTCATTGCTAAGTAGTGTTTATTGTATCTATGTACCACAATGTATCGATTCACCCATGGATGTAGACTGGATGGTTTCCAATTGTTTACTATAATGAATATAGGCATTATAAGCATTTGTGTACAAGGCTTTGTGGGGAGGTATGTTTTCATTCTTCTTGGATAAATATCTGAGTGAGATTGCCAGGTCATATGGTAAGTATATGGTTAACTCAGCAAGAAACCACCAAATTATTTTCCAAAATAACTCTGCCATTTTGCTTTCCCACCAGCGTTGGATGAACGTTCAGTTGCTCTATATTCTTGGCAACACTTAAGTATTGTCAGTTTTTAAGGTTGTGCGTGTGTGTGTGTATGTGTGTGTGTATATGTGTGTGTGTGTGTATGTTTATGTGTGTGTGTGTATATGTGTGTGTGTGTGTGTGTGTGTGTGTGTATGTGTGTGTGTGTAGTGGCATCTCATTATCGTTTTAGTTTCCATTTCCCTAATGTCTAATGATATTGGACATCATTTTATTCACTTATTGCCACTCATATATCTTCTTTGCTGAAGTGTCTGTTGAAATCTCTTGCCCATTAAAAAATCAGGTGATTTTGTTACTGAGGTGTTGTTATTGTTGTTATTGTTCTTTTTAGACAGAGTCTCACTCTTGTCACTCAGGCTGGAATGCATTGGCGCCATCCCGGCTCACTGCAACCTCCGCCTCCTGGGTTCAAGCGATTCTCCTGCCTCAGCCTCCTGGTTGTGAGGTTGTCTGGAGAGTCTGTAAAAACCAAGGCCATCTGTTGGTGGCCTCAGCTTGGTTCATATTGGGCTGGGCTCCAGACAGAGGTTTCCTCAGAAGTGTCTACTATGGGGCTCCACCTCATGTGAGTGATGCATTTCTGGGAAAGTCCCTGTGAGCTTGGTGGCTCTGCTGAGCCACAGGCACGTGGCGTGGTCTTTGCCATGACCTTGGAGAGGAGGCGTAGGCACTCTGGCTCATGCTCACTAACTGGCAGCGTGGGTCCCAGTGCCAGCCAGGCTCAGGCCCCAGTCCTGCTCGGCATCTACACCGTGGCCCATCCCCTCCAACTTCAGCTCTGCTGTCTTCCCCGCCCCCAGAGACTGCCAGCACCAGCTCCTGTCTCCCCTGCCTGCTCCTGTCTCCTTTCTCTTAAGGAGAAATCTCCATTTTTGGTCTACAAAACTGTCTGTCTTTTGTTATTGATCATGTTTGTGTCATTATTACTTTTTAAAAGATCTCATGTCTATATGTTTGAAGCAGAAGGAGATGGTTTGAACTATCTCAATCAGAAACATTGTAACTTATCTACGTGTGTGATACCGCTGCTGTTACGAACTAAATTTTGTTCCACAAGCAGATCCGCAGAAATGCACATACCCCGGAGCTGTGTGTTATTCTTCAACTTGCATTAAAACAACTCACATCAAGCCTGTTTGGACCTGTTGGTGACCAAGGTCCAGCTCAGCCTGGGGCAACAGGACAAAGGTGAAAGCAACCTCTAGTTTTTATTAAGAGTCAATTTTAAACATATATGCATATTCATTCATTTTCTTGTGTGTGTGTGTGTGTGTGTGTGTGTGTGATCACTATGTAGCAGACATAAGGGCCTTCGTAAGGGACTTACAGACATAAGCCAATTTAATCCTCATAACAATCCTAGGATGCAGATACTGTTATTATGATCCCCATTTTACAGATAAGGAAACTGAGGCCCAAGGAGTGGTGAGCCATGACTGGGATCCAGAGTCCCGCGGATCTCTCTGCTGTGTGTGCACCTGTGTGCCCTCGTGCCTTAGCTTGCATACAAGGGTGGGGGACATGAAGTCCACGCTACCTCTGACAGTGGCGTGCTTGTCCACAGCCAAGAGTGGAAGGGGGAAGGACAGGAGAGTGGCAGACTCAGGGCCTGGCTTGGGGACACCAGCCCTCTGACCCAGACATGCTCTGCCCACTTCCCCCTGCCTACTCACTAGATTCAGACGCAAGAGTCCGAGACTGCCAAGGAGGCCTGGCTGCAGCAGGGTCAATGGGGTCTCTCTCCCACTCTCTCCCATCCCCAGCCCACCATCAGGACCAATCTGTTCCCTGCAGGCTGTAGGGACCAGGGCCTGGCGAGGAGGGAGATATGTGAAGACAGCTACCTCCTTAGAGGAGAGGGCTACCATGCCACCTCACTGCGGTTCTTTATGTCTAGAGACACAGCAAGATAGAGAGAATACGGGATACAGGACCCAGGAGAGAACAAAGAATACAGAGGAATACAGAAATACGGGCTGGTGGCTCATGCCTGTAATCCCAGCACTTTGGGAGGCCGAGGGGGGTGGATCACTTGAGCTCGGAAGTTCGAGACCAGCCTGGCCAACATGGCGAAACCCGTCTCTACTAAAAATACAAAAAAAAAAAAAGAAAAAGAAAGAAGAAAATAAAAATTAGCCAGGAGTGATGGTGGGCACTTGTTGTCCCAGCTACTCAGGAGGCTGATTCAGGAGAATTGCTTGAACCCGGGAGGCGGAGGTTGCAGTGAGCAGAGATTGTGCCACTGCACTCCAGCCCGGGTGACAGAGCGGGACCCTTGTCTCCAAAAAAAAAAACAAAAAAAATACAGAGAGCCAAGATGGAGAGGAGCAAAGACAGAGAAACAGAGACTGGGAGGTGGAGGGAAGTACCTGGAGGGCATCTGAAAGTGAGCCTGTCGGGAGAGGGAGCTGGGGTGAGTCAAAGCTGGTACAGGAGGTGGCCGTGCAAGGAACGAGTCCCCGGCCATGGGGGGTTAGAGCTCTGGGGAGTCCGAGTCAAAAAGGCCTGGAGCCAGGGGTTCCTCCCACCACCCGTGCGGCCCGGTATCAGGTGGGGCTGGGCTGGGGCTGGAGTAAGCGTGCATATTGTATCTAGTCCCTCCTGGCTGCTGGCCTGGTGTCCCTGGATCTGGGGATAGGCGCCCGGCCTCGTGGTGCCCTCCTCCTGCATGGGCCAGTTGGCTCCACCCTCCCGGTGCCAGTGTCAGGTTCCAGGCTGTTCCCCGGGGGAACTTTGATCTGGAAAGAATGAGGGTGACCGATCTGGCTGCTGCACAGGGCCGAGCCGTGTCACCGAGACCTGGCCTGAGCTGCCCCTGCCACTTTCCCGCCCACTGGGACACCAAGCGGTTACCCTGGGCTCAGGAGACACAGAGGGGGTCTTTCCTGCTTCCCTTCCCTCCCTTCTCCTCTTCATCATCCATTGTTTATTCAGCAATTCACTCATTCATCAAGTATTGGCTGATGGAGTGGGGGTGAGTGATGGGGACAGAGGGACAAGGAGACAGGGTCCTGCCCTTTAGAGAGCCCCTCACCTGATAGGGGGGCAGGTGGCCCACACAGACACACCCTAAACAGAGACCACTGCTTGAGAAACACAAGCCCTGCTTTGGAGGAGGAAGATGGGGAGTGCGAGGAGGGATGTGTCCTAGTGGGCACCGTGCAGGGTTAGTGGAGGTAAGGAGGTAAGGACAGGCTTTATCAGGGAGGGCTTCCCGGAGAAGGGGGTGGTTAAGCTGGACCCCGATCTGGAGGATGAGCAGGGATGTGTCCGTTTGAGAAGTAGAAGGCCAGGCACAATCACAGAAGCACGAAAGAGTTTTGTGTTTGTGTGTTTGTGGGCGGCAGCGGCTGAGAAAGGGGGGTTGGAGAGGTGGGTGGGGGGCTGGTTAGGAAGGGCCTTGAATGGCCCCCTCAGGCGTTCCCCTGTTGGCGAGGGGACCCATGAGTCAGGGGTAGGGGTCCTAGCTGGGACAGGTTGTCAAATCAAGACACAGCTGGGGGCTATAGGGGAAGCGGCAGCTTGATGGCACCTCCGGGCCTTGCCGAGGAGGGGCTGGTGCCTCCGAGACCTCCCCCGCCAGCCCCAGCCCCAGTTAGTCTCCACGGTACTTTTGAGGAAGCCCCGCTGATCTATGGGCTGCAGCGGCTCCAGTGGGCTCCAGGCCCAGGGCTCAGCCCAGCCCCTGCCTTGGCCTGGCCTCCCCACCCCCACTGCCCACTCTGACTGACGCAGCCTTTTGCTGGGCTGAAAGCAGACACTGCCTGTGAGGCCCCTGGGGAAGGCCCAGGGGGCAGAGCCCCGGAGCTCGGGCTCCTCTTGTCCTGAAGGCTGCTGAGCCGGGGCCTATGAATAACCCCTCCCCCGGCCCCGTCTCTGAGAAGGGGGAAGGGAGGCAGGCCCAGGCCAGGCTGAAGGCACCAGGTCTTTTGGTGGGAAGCTGTGGAGGGGGTGAGGGAAGAAGGGGACAGGGCCCACGGTTGGAGATCCTCTGGGCTGGAGCAGTCAAGCTCCACAGGGAGAGTGCGTGCAGGGACTGTTGTTGTAAGAGGAGCGGCCAGTCCTCCTTCCTCCCATCTCTGGGTGGGTTTCCGGAGGTCCAAGAGTCCGGATATGAGCTCTGAGGGCCACCCAGGCTGGGCCTGGCCTGCCCCCAGAGACCCCCTCTTCAATTCCCAGTGGCCCAGGACAAACTTGTCCCTGCTTTGCCTGAAGACCTTAAACATGTGCCTGTTCTTCCTGGACTCAGTCTCCCCTCCTGGCTTTGCAGTTTTCAGGGTGGGAGCTGAGTGGGTCAGTGTAGAGCCCTCTCCAGGCCATGGGGCCAGGGCTTAGGGGCTGGGACCCAAGGGGGAGGATCCTGGAAATGGAAAATCTGAGCCCAACAGCCTTATCTGGGCTGGAAGCAGCTGTCTCCACCCCACACCCTGCGCAGCCCCCGCCTCTTGGGGGAGGACAGCAGCCCCTCTGTGCAGGAATAGGTGGTGTTTGTTCAACGGGTAGCCTGGGCCTCCGCAGAGGCCTGTGGGAAATTCTTCCTTAGTGGGGTCAAGAGGTTGGTGCAGGAGGGCAAGAAACTCTGCTCACTCTCTTCTTTCCCCACATCACAGCCATCCTGATTTTTTTTTTTAGATGGAGTCTGGATCTGTCATCCAGGCTGGAGTGCACTGCAACCTCCACTTCCCCAGTTCAAACGATTCTCGTGCCTCAGCCTCCCAAGTAGCTGGGATTACAGGCGCATGCCACCACGCCCAGCTAATTTTTTGCATTTTTAGTAGAGATGGATTTTCTTCTTTCTTTTTTTTTTTTTTTTTCCTGTTTAACAAAGCACATCTTGCACCGCCCTTAATCCATTTAACCCTGAGTGGACACAGCACATGTTTCAGAGAGCACAGGGTTGGGGGTAAGGTCACAGATCAACAGGATCCCAAGGCAGAAGAATTTTTCTTAGTACAGAACAAAATGAAGTCTCCCATATCTACTTCTTTCTACACAGACACGGCAACCAACCGATTTCTCAATCTTTTCCCCACTTTTCCCCCTTTTCTATTCCACAAAACTGCCATTGTCATCCTGGCCCGTTCTCAATGAGCTGTTGGGTACACCTCCCAGACGGGGTGGTGGCCGGGCAGAGGGGCTCCTCACTTCCCAGTAGGGGCGGCCAGGCAGAGGCGCCCCTCACCTCCCGGACGGGGCAGCTGGCCGGGCGGGGGGCTGACCCCCTCACCTCCCTCCCGGACAGGGTGGCTGCCGGGCGGAGACGCTCCCCACCTCCCGGATGGGGTGGCTGCGGGGCGGAGGGGCTCCTCACCTCTCATACGGGGTGGCTGCCGGGCAGAGGGTCTCCTCACTTCCCAGACAGGGCGGCCGGGCAGAGACGCTCCTCACCTCCCAGACGGGGTGGCAGCCGTGCAGAGGCTGCACTCTGGGCACTTTGGGAGGCCAAGGCAGGCGGCTGGGAGGTGGAGGTTGTAGCGAGCCGAGATCACGCCACTGCACTCCAGCCTGGGCACCATTGAGCACTGAGTGAACCAGACACCGTCTGCAATCCCGGCACCTCGGGAGGCCGAGGCTGGCGGATCACTCGCGGTTAGGAGCTGGAGACCAGCCCGGCCAACACAGCGAAACCCGTCTCCACCAAAAAAATACGAAAACCAGTCAGGCGTGGCGGCGCGTGCCTGCAATCGCAGGCACTCGGCAGGGTGAGGCAGGAGAACCAGGCAGGGAGGTTGCAGTGAGCCGAGATGGCAGCAGCACAGTCCAGCTTCGGCTCGGCATGAGAGGGAGACCGTGGAAAGAGAGGGAGAGGGAGACCATCGGGAGAGGGAGACCATGGGGAGAGGGAGAGGGAGAGGGAGAGGGAGACGGAGACGGAGACGGAGACGGAGATGGAGCCCTTTTTTTTTTTTTTTTTTTTTTTTTGAGATGGAGTCTTGCTCTGTTGCCCTGGCTGGAGTGCAGTGGCGTGATCTCTGCTCACTGCAACCTCCGCCTCCTGGGTTCAAGCTATTTTCCTGTCTCAGCCTCCTGAGTAGCTGGGATTACAGGCACACGCCACCATGCCTGGCTAATTTTTGTATTATTTTAGTGGAGACAGGGTTTCAACATGTTGGCCAAGCTGGTCTCAAGCTCCTAACCTCAGGTGATTCGCCCACCTTGGCCTCCCAAAGTGCTGGGATTACAGGCGTGAGCCACCTTGTCCAGCCATATGCTGAGAATTTTAGCAGATCCCAAAGCAGCCAGGATCTGCCTCTTCTAGAGGCCTACTTCTGATTAGAGTGAGCCAGAACTGGGGCATGTGATATACGTGTTCAAACTCATGCTCACACAACATTATACCTGCAAACATTTAATATATGGAAGCATGTGTACACATGTGACACATGTACAAGCATGTGGACAGTATCAGCTGCATAGGACACGTCCTGATGTCTACACTGACACAGGTACTGGAGGCATATATACGTATGTGTGCATATAAACACATTCCCTACCTACAAGCAAGCGCATTGAAAAACCCTCCTGTAAACACGGGTACTTACAAATGTGCACATACTCCACACACCACCTATCCTCGCCGGTAAGGAGTATAAACACCTGAACTCCCAGCTCTTTCCTCTACACAGACACACCCACACATGCACATGCAAGCATCACACATGCCCAGACGCATCCTCAGGTACACGGGAAAGAGATGAGCATTGAAAGGTAGACGTGTGTCTGGCAGAATGTCTGCTGGGATGGAGGGACGGCATTTAAAGGAGGGTTTGGTGGAGCGGAGTTGAAGTTATCCAGAGGGCAGGAGGGTCCCAGGATCAGCCCCTGTGGCTCCGCTTCAGGCAGACAGAGCTGTGGGTCTAGGGCAGAGACCCATGCATCCCTCTCCTGGGCACTGCCCTGGGACCCAGCTGGAGATAAGACTTGGAGGCTCCAAGACGTGCCCAGCATGGGGCCCCCACTCCTGCACAGCCTCCACCAAGTTCTCTACCTCCCTCTTTATCGCTCTTCTTGGCTCCTGAATCCAGCAACCTGGCAGGAAAAGATAAATCTAAGCCCTGTGTTCCCACCCCTATGGATCTCATAACAAGGCAACAGTTTCCAGGGCAGAGGCTGGATTTCAGGATTTGGGAGGAGGAGGGGTAATGGCGTGTTTGCCAGGGTGGTGGGGTCCAGTCCTAGAGTGCACGTCTCCTCTGAGGCCTCATTAGCTTGCTCCCTGTGGGTGCCTGTGGCTGCAGACCACGACGAGTCAGAGGGTATGGCAGGATGCACACACCTTCCTGATTGTGACCTTGATGGCCAGGCCGGCTAGCTGCCCCACACAGTGAGACCTCCGTGGGGGTGTGCCAGGGCCAAGAAGGGCCTGACCCTCCAACCTGACTCCTTCCTGGTGGAGGGGCTTGGAGGGATCCCCAGTGAGGTGTGCAGCTGCCTTTGACCCAGTGAGGAGGCTGATGCGAGCTTGTAGACAGGCCGGGGAGCCCCACAGCTCACTATCCCTCTAACGCACCTTCTCTGAGACCCATTTTATTTTATTATTGTATTTCATTTTGAGACGGAGTCTCACTCTGTCACCCAGGCTGGAGTGCAGTGGCATGATCTCAGCTCACTGCAACCTCTGCCTCCTGAGTTCAAGCAGTTCTCCTGCCTCAGCCTCCTGAGTAGCTGGGATTACAGGCACACACCACCATGCTTGGCTAATTTTTATATTTTTAGTAGAGACAGCGTTTTGCCATGTTGGCCAGGCTGGTCTCGAACTCCTGACCTCAGGTGATCTGCCCACCTCAGCCTCCCAAAGGAGGGATCCACGCCTGGGATTACATGCGTGAGCCACTGCACCCAGCCTCTGTGACCCATTCTAATGAATGGTACCTCCATATCCCCAAGTCAGAATTTGGGAGCCATCCTTGCCTCTCTCCCTCCCTCATTCTCCATTGTCCATCCATCCAGCATCCTATCGGTTCCACTGACTCCAGTGAGTCCCCTTTTCCAAGAGGACCCAACTAACACATGTTTATTGAGCCATTACTAAAGCCAGCTGCTGCCCCAGGTGTGGGGACAGCCTAATGGCTGAGACAGCTCCTGCTCTCCAGGGATGGAGTCCAATGCGTGACCGTGTGTGTGTGTGTGTGTGTGTGTGTGTGTGTGTGTGTGTGTGTGCACCATGCATGTGGACCTGGGGTGCAGAGGGCTGGAGGGGTGGCGCCAGGCAGGTGGACAGAGCCCACTCCCACCTCAGTTGGGGGATTCAGCCGTCCCACTCCTTCTGTCCTTTCCCCACGCTGTAAGCCCTGCTTGTGTTCCCTCAGACCTGAGGAGTCTGGAGAGTGTGTGGGAAGTTCAGGGGAGAGGCTGGGGGCAGGCGGAGAAGTGGGAGTCGTCGGCACTGAGGTGCAAGCAGTGTGCAGGTGTGGGGGTGAGTGAGACCACCCAGGCAGGTGTGCAGGTGAGAGGGAGGAGGCCCAGCTCAGAGCCCTGGGGACCACCTCAGTGAAGGGAGGAGCAGAAGCACAGTCAGGAAGGTCACTGGGGAGGGAAAGAGGAGAATCACGTAAGTGAGGAGGAGGAGGGAGTGGTCCTGGGGGGTCTCGAGGGCCATGGGGGGCACTGGAGACCTCTGAGGAGCAATTTCAGGGGAGTAAGGCCTCCGGCCAATCCGGGGAGCAGGGAGGAGCTGCTCTGACCTGGTGGAACCTGACTGCTGTACTGGGAGGTGAGCTGGGACTGGCGTGCAGGAAAGAGGGTACTGCACCTTGGGTGTGGGGGCAGGGCCCAGGTTCCAGTACTGTCTCCGCATG